>NC_000003.12:106432846-106735877 GCF_000001405.40 Homo sapiens | reverse complement strand
CGGCTAATTTTTTGTATTTTTAGTAGAGACTGGGTTTCACCGTGTAAGCCAGGATGGTCTCGATTTCCTGACCTCGTGGTCCGCCCGCCTCAGCCTCCCAAAGTGCTGGGATTACAGGCTTGAGCCACCGCGCCAGGCCCACCATACATTTTTGAAGCACAATTAATCAGGCATTATAGATTTCTGTCATCAGACTAGCCCAAAGATGTAGATGTTGTCCTCCTATGAGCCCAAGGTAGTGTTGCTCTGTGGAGGTCTGTCAGTTCCTCTATGCCTCTCCTCCCTATAAAATGAACGGAGTCAGATTCATTTAAGTGGCCTTGTTAGGGTACCGGTTGGAAAATCTCATATATTCCTTAGGTGCTAGGCACATAGTAAGTGCTCAATCACTGTCAGCAATAATAATAGGTATCATTACAGTTAATGGAGGATCGCAATTCTTTTCTGTATGTCTGCAAAATTTTATGAGTGATACTAAATTCCTTTAAATGTGTTGAATGGCAAATATGGCTGTGCAGAGCTTGACAATTTACTTTCTCAGCAGAGATGTATCTTGATATTTTGGTTGTGCTTTCTATGATGGCCAATTGTATAAAGGACCAACTTTTCTGTAGATTCATGTCCTGACCTTTAATTGAGGTATCATTTTATTTATTTTTGTCTCCCATCTTAAGTGCCTTGTTCCAGAATAATGTCATTTTTAGGGTCAATCTGCTATGATGATAAATACCTAAGAATCTTATGGATGTCTCTCTGTGAGAAATCTCTCCTTCTTTGAATAATATAATAATAATAAATATCATTTTTATATCAAGGTCATCAAAATGTGACAAGAGAAAGATTATCCAATATTTCATAATTCAACTTGTGGTACGTTAAAATGATAGGAATCCAAAATAAATCTAATGGAATAAAACTTTGAAAAATTTATGTTTTTAAAGCAAGTCCTTGAATGCTGTTTTAATGCATCTTCATTAGATTGATAGGATCTAGACTTCTTTGCAAACAGACTTTATCACAGGCACATGCAATTCATCATTGCTGTTGTCCTCATTAATCTCTTTTCTTTTCTCTGAAATAATACTTCCTGCTTCAACTCATACATTTAGAAAACAATGAAGTGATATCTTCTCAAGTTGACCTATGTGTCTTAAATGTGTTTAAGGTATTTTAAAGTCTTTGTCACTTACCTGTCTTTTGAATGTGGGCAATATGAATACTTTTTTCTAACAGGATAGAATATATATTCTTAGCTGCTCTTCCTTTTGAAGGACTGTTTATTATTTGATTTAAAAAACAAAAGAAAGAGAAAAAATAAAGGAAAGAAAGTAACTGAAATATTCCATCAAAAGAGTAACATTCCAATGTTAGTCAAAAGAGTAGCTCAAAAGTTACTCAAAAGAGTAACATTGTTAAAATAAGGAAAGAAGAAAGTAGTGAGAGGAGGAAGAAAGGAAGAATGGGAGAAGGAGAAATAAAACTTCATTGAAATAGAGCATTAAAATACAATATTAATGGGAAAGAAAAGGAAAGTACCATTTTTTAAATATCCTGATGGAACAGGTGTGGAAGATTACCCAAGGATGAATCATTCATTAATTTTTTTTTATTGAGAGTCATATTAGCTCTTCGAAACTATTTTCAGTATGTTACATTTGAGGCTGAGAAGAAAAAATTATTTTCTTTCTAACTTTTGTTAATTTCTACAAGCACATAATAATTAACAAGGTCTTTATATTTATTTATAGGTGGTGAATAGTCAAATTATGTGAATGCTAATTTACATATGAAGATGATCCTTAATATAATTAAGAGAATATATCAAGATTTTTGAATTACGATTAGACATAGAAAGCTTTGTTACTTTCAGTTTTAAAAAATCTATTCCCAAAATAAATTTATGTTACTAATTTAGACAAAAGGGAAATGTGTTCAGTATACAAAAATTTCCCACAAATTGTAAAGAATAAGCTACTAAATGTAAAAATAAACACAAATTGGTAATTTAGAGAAAAATAATTGCAAATAAACTAGTCAAAACTCACAAATAGGCAACAGTGCTGTTGCCATTTTCACTCTTACGCAAAAATTATAGAAATTATTGTATCCATTGCTGGGGGATGTAGGAGAAGGTTTCCATTATATGTTATTTGTGAGACTATGAGTCAGCACAAAGTTTTTTGGGAAAAAATTTGGCTTTCTTTAATACATTAAATAAATTAATTTAAGTTATTTAAAATTTATACTGTCATATCCCCTCGTCCAACAATACCACTTTTGGGGCTCTAACCTAAAGAAATAAAAGAGGGATATATAAGGATATGAGAGATATATAAAGATATTTATTTAAGTAATTTCTTTTTGTAAGGATATGAGGGAGATGTATAAAGATATTTCTTTAAGTAATTTCTTTTTGAGACAGAGTCTGTCTTTGTCACCCAGGCTGGAGTGCAGTGGTGCAGTCATGGCTCACTGCAACCTCTGTTTCCAGGGCTTGAGTGATTTATCCTTCCTCACCCTCCCAAAGGGCTGGGATTACAGAGCTGAGCTACCCTGCCTGGCCAGTAATTTTTGATGTTAACAAATAAAGCTGAAAATGCCTGAATATCCATCAGGAAATAGTTCACTAATGAATATATTCTATACTGTCTCTGTTTCTCTCATCTCTCTCTACCTCTCTATCTGTACCTACATCTTTACCTCTATCACTATCTATATAATAACCAGAAAGGGAAGCCATGATATTTAAAAGCACAAAAACAAGTAGTGGTAACTATGTAATGGTATTACCCAATTTTTGTTGAAACCAAATCCGTATGCTTGTGCGAACATAGAGAATGATGTAGACATATACATCCCATGCTGTAAATATTACCTTCGGTAGAGTGGACTGAAGAAAAGTATAGGTGGTGGCTGCTAAGTTTTTTCCTCCCACATTGCTGTATTAACGAATTTGTTAAATCAAGTATGATTAACTTTCTAATTAATTAAAAAACTAACAAAGCTTAACAATTAAAGCCTTCTACATTCACATTTTCCTTTCTTTGGATTTATATTTGTACCTTAGTCTGCTGTGCAGATGCTGTCTAATAACTATGTAAGTCAGCATCCTGGAATAGATTCATCTTTAATTCTTTCAGTAAAAGACTGGCCACTTGGAAGTTCTTTTCTTTTGAAACTTTTGCAGTCTATGTGTTTCTGTAATAAATTCAGTCTGTGAGAGTGATTCTCAATATAGCATGAAAAGAACATATAGGAATTACCTGGGGAATTTCAGCTTACACATACATTTGATACTTAACCAACCTAACCCATATGCATGAATACTATGGTGAGCCACTGCTACTAATGTGAGTGTGTTTCATTTCTTAGTATGCTGATTTGGGAAAAGTTTGGGAGTCAGTGATCCATAAAATGCTTTTGCAGAGCACTCAAAGTCTGAGATGCTGAATTCTCTTCAGCAGAATAGCTTCATTCACTCCAAACATAAAATCATTAATTTGAAAGAAAAGAATAATTTAATTCTTATTGCTATCTTAAGGCTGAATATCATCACAGACGTTTAGATCGAAGAAAACTCTTCATTTTACAAAAGGGCAAACTGAAGTCAAGAGGATGAAGTGACTTGATCAATATCTTACAAGTTAATGGTTAGCTGGGGTCCATGATGTAACTCTAGTGGTTCCCAGGACTTCCTGGAGAGGTGAGAAAGATTGCTTTTACCTGAAGAGGATGCCCAATCCAAGCCTGAAGAAGAGCGCTGGAGGCATGCAGAGTGCTCTTTTGTAGTTGTATCTTTAATGTCCTCTTTTTTAACGGAGACTTTTAACATACTTTTGGAAGGGATATTCTTGCTAAACTGAGCTTTCTTCATTACCTTCCAACCTGATGTTACTGGAATTTATGAGCCACAGGCAGTGTGGCATAGACAGTATCACTGTTATCCAGCCAAGTATTCTGTCCTCAGGATGATCTGTACCATTTCCAGTATGTGAGCTCCTTCTCAAGAATCAGTAATCCACCTGGAAGCTGCTCGCTCCTCCTACCTGTGCCTTTTGAGCACATATCCTTGGGTCAGGACTTAAGTCCCAGGAGAAGTATATTCCAAATGCTATTCCCTGTGCTGTGGAGGGTTCTGTGAACTGGAATGATTTAGACTGCAGCAGGAAAGGGAGATAAAACTCTGAGACAGTCGGTGTTGACTCCAGTCTTGTATTCAGCTAAAGACATTCTTCACTGTGGAGACCAATGCATTTGAACTTGACTTTTGACTATCAGCTTTCCTGTATTAAACCTCATGGACATATAGAGATAGCAATTTTCAGTTTATTTTCGATAGCTTTTACCTGGCCAATGAGGTTGGGTTAGGTTAGTGGTTACTAACAGACAGCCAGAGAAGTGCCCCAGAGCTGTGGATAGCAGAGTGAACTTGCGGCCAAAGTGTTGGCTAGCAGAGTGTTGATGGAGCCAAAGGTCAGCCTCTAAACACAATCTCTTCTGGGATTGTGGGTCTGAGCCTGGTAGTGTGCCATTTGATGTCTGCTGTTGAATGAGATAGGGGCATGGTAAACAACAGGGAATTAGAGGTACAAAGTCAAGCAAGACCATATAGAAGGGCAGATACTAGAAATTTAAAAATAAGAGGATCAGAAGAAATCTTAGAATAGGGCAGAAGCCACTTTATGTATGTCTATGGTAACTGGGTGGAGGTATTTATTGCATACAAGGGAGTAGTGATGTTAGAAACACTAACAGAGTCCTTTCACCCTCATCATCTCATTCTGCTTCTCACAGTAACCTGTTAAGACAGGGAAGGAACTGAAGCTCAGAGAGGTTGGGTGACTTGTCTAAGGTTGCCCAGATAAACAGAAAACACAAAATTGAAAACCCAAGACTTCTGATTTTACACCAACTCCTCAGTCTGGAGTTTTTGTTTTGGTGATAAGCCCCTCTTTTCCACTGAAAGTTATCTTTGTTATTAATAAAAAATGCCTTAACTGTATCAATTTTTAAAATCTTTCTTTGTGAGGGGATTTTAGGAAACATACCTCAGTATGTGTCAGGCCTATCACCTTCCTGAGACTGGCTGGCTCTGCAATAAGTTAGAAAGTATGATTGTAAATATCTGTGAGCATTTTATAGCAGATATCACACTGCTTATATTCTGTACAGAATAACATATTTTAAAGAGTGCATGAAACAAATCAGTTTATTTCCACTAAAGATTATGCCTTCATATCTCTTTTCTTTATACTATCTTGACCAGTATTTTCCCATGTATATATCATAATGTCTCTGGCTTTTCAGTTTTTGTCTAAATATTCATTCAATCGTAGGTAAAATATTCAGTTTTAGGTCCAAATTTCCGGGACTCTGAGTGGACTTGAACCTTTAGATTCTCAGAGTTCTATCAATATAATGCCTTAAAGAACTGCAGGGAGTTCAAACTTTGTGTGAATTTACATAGGTGTTACTACATCCATTCCCTATGTCTGGTAATAATAGTTATGAATCGCTGCTAATATTTATTG
The DNA here is from genome assembly GCF_000001405.40 of Homo sapiens. Lineage (NCBI taxonomy): Eukaryota > Metazoa > Chordata > Mammalia > Primates > Hominidae > Homo > Homo sapiens. The sequence continues at coordinate 106,730,346 of NC_000003.12, read as the reverse complement.
AGCATTTTTACCTATATCAGACAACTATGCAAATGTTTTAATATTTTATCTCACTTAATCTTCACAACTATGCCATAGCGTATTTTTGTCCATTTTCATATAAATACACTGAGCCTCAGAGAACTGAGGTAACTCTCTCAGGGGAGACAGCAGTTGGCCAAACAGGATTTGAATCAGGTCTGCTAAACACTGGAACCCATGTGCCAGCATGCATGGTGAAAAGATAAGAAAAAAGGGAGGAAAAACAGAATATTTAATATTATAAAAACCTACATAACAACACAGAAAGGTACTTTAACATGGAGAGAGATTTTTTAAATGCAAGTCTCATTTTATTCCATTTTCAAGAACAGAATAAAGCAAAAGAACATATGCAGTGGTTCCTTACAATGTTATCCTGCAGTAAGCTTTAATGATTCCTCTTTGCATTAATGTGGACAACTAGTCTGGGCTCTCTGGCTCTGGAGATACAGTTTTATATTATTTTTTTTGTTTAAAGTGATTTTTATCCTTTAGGTGGATAAAAGTTTGGCTCTAGGTGAACCGAAGTGATTTGTAAAATAGCAAAGGGCTGTGCAACATGCCAAAACAGTAAGAGAATTGTCTATGCATGTAAGAAGCTGGTGGCTGTGGGTGAAAATAAAATAGTGGCTAGATCAGCTGTTGATGTGTGAACTTGTAAGGAAGACTATTAGGTCTGGGAATTCCAATTTATGCTTCCAGCTTTTCTTTGAATATTGAGGAAGGAAGTAAATGAATACATACTGAGAGTTTTCTGGGCCACATGTTATTCTAGATAATTTTGACAAAAGTTTCTAGTTTGCTGCACCCAGAAAACCTTTTGTGAATCACCTTACTATCCCCATTTTACCAAAGAGAAATGCAAAATTCTGTAGCTAAAATATGACAGAACCAGAAGTTCAATGTATGTCCTTCTGACTTCAAAATTTAAAATTATTAGCCATGTAAATTTCTGTGGATTCATAATCTGACTGTCTCTCAATTTATTTTCTGTTCACCCTTCTAGTTGCCATTCTGAGAATCTGAGCGACTTCAGATGAAAAGAAGTTTTATGAAACATTTCTACAAAATTTCTTGGCTAAGGTGTTATACATAGAAAACTACACATATGTCTATTGATTTTGTTTTTGAATTGATAAAACCCAAAGCAAAGCTCAATAATGGCTGTCTCCATGTTTTAAACTGCTAGCAAGACACTCAGACCCACAGAAAGCACAATATCAGTGTTAGTTAAATTGAACTAAACACAAAATCTCTACCTCATAACAACCAGTAGTCAATCTATTTGATATAAGAAAATATTTAAGAATCCCTATGTGATCTGAATTACAATTTTTACTTCCATTTTGAATTCCAGTTCATCTAACAGATTCCTTCCACTCTGAAGTTCCCTTAGTTCCACATTCCTCATGCTATTCCTTTGTTCAGAAATCTACAAAGGCTGTCTTTTGCCTGTCTCATATATAAACACTTTTTCTTAGCTTTCAAAGTCTTTAATAATCTAACCTACCATAACCAGCCAGCTTAAGAGTAGACACGCAGGGGGGAATATTTGAGTGTGAATAGAAGGAAAGAGAAACAATAGAATACTTTTGTGAAACGCAGGGGGGAATATTTGAGCATGAATAGAAGGAAAGAGAAACAGTAGAATACTTTTGTGAAAATTTTGTGGCTTTAAAATGCTTGGCGTGAGTCATGTGTAATTGTTTCTAACTCCCCGAGTGATACGTCTGTGCCTTGTTAGTCTGTAAGAAAAACATGAATTTTCTGACCAACTCTTACTTACTTTCTCTATCTCCCTTCATGTACTTAGTCACTCTGTGTGGACATCCTGGCTGATCTCCATTAGTGGAAATATTCATGTCTACCTCCAAATTGTTTTGTCCTTAGACATTTTTCTGACTCATGTCTCTGATATTCTTCAGTCAACACATTTGGACTACTTGGGCTATGAACAAGGATATGAAGAATGGAACTGCCATAAACTCAAGTACAATATAATTAACAAAAATGAAATGGAGAGATAACATTACAGTGAGGGTAAGGTGCTGTCTACTCAGGAAACATAAAGCCCAAATTTGATTCAGAATTTATATTAACTCCTAGAGTTTCTTTGAATTAAGAATGTCGGTTCTGAAACAAAATTATTGGGTCCAAGTGAGCATTTCCAAATATAGGTCAGAGAAATGATAGGTGAGACTGGAGACTGATTCTTCTTTCTGATACTTTGTTGTTGTTGTTACCAAATTACTATCGTTTAGTCAACAAGCCTACACTGGAAGTCCAAGGTACTTTCCATACAATTGCAATCTAGTATTCATATAGTAAAATTTTAGATGAAGGCAAATAAAGGAACACTACTGCATGAATCTACAGCTCCGTTGGTTGGCAGCATGAAGTTAAACTAGCAAAACAGCCTTTAATTCACTACCATCCTAACATGATGTTTTTTTCCATCCATTCTGGCTCTTTGTGCTGTGGATTATGGAGAGATATCATAGCCATGGCACGTGGGCTCCTCTCACTTCTTTTCTGATTACCTTTGAAGGTCTTAGTTGTGTGTGGAAGTCATCTATTAAGTCACCCAGGTTTGGTTAGCTTTAGGCTTTAGCATTTTTCCCCTACACCATTTGACCATTACTATGGTATCTCCAAGTCTCCAAGATTCAATAGAGATTTCCTTGTTGAAAATTGGTATTGTTGATCATTTATCTCCCAGAATTTCTGCTTTCACATAATTCTTGACTTTTTGTAAACTCTCCCGTGTCATTAAAAATATGTTTTTTTCTGAGTATTTTAGAATTTTAGTTAGGGGAGTCTTTCATAATTCCTAGACCACCCACCCTGCTGGACACAGAAGCCAGGTTCCCCTTATGCTTCAGTTCGTGAAGAATGATTATTTTGGACCAAAGTCTATCTAAGAACATTTCAAAAAAGTGATTAAGAACTGGCACCCTTAAAATTTAGGTGTTCTTAATGAACATTTAGGTGTTGGCTAGAACACCCAAATTTTAATAATGACTTCATAAAATGGCTCTTTTAACTTGAGAATTGTTCTCTTTAAGCTTTAGTTTCCTCATTTGTAAAATGGGAATAATAGTAACATTACCTGCTTCATATGATTATTGTAAAGACTAGATATGTATAATGAAAAATGTGAGTGGGAAATAAAGCGGGTTTAAAGATGGTGGTTGATATTATATTTTATTTATCTCCAACGGCAGCACCACTACCTTTTGCTCCTAATGCTAGAAACAGGCAGACTTCCTAAAGCAAAGGAGGCTTTGTTTTGCTGCTTCTTTCACCATGTATTGGAAATTACTTAAAAGGAACATTACTTAAAAGGAAACAAAAGTTAAAAAAAAAAAAAAGAAAAACAGCAGCTAACATTTACTGAATATTAGTTGTGCATCAAAATGCTAGTTATTTTACATTAAATATTGTTAAGTCCTCACAACATTTCTCTAAAGCATATTTTATCTTTCCCCATTATAGATAAAGAAACTGAGACTCAGGCAGGTTAAGTAATTTGTTCAGAGTAACACAGTTAGAAGTAAATAGAGACAATTTGACTTTTGAGGTTGTACTCCTAATTAATATGCTAGAACTGCAATGTCAAGGGTCAAAGTCAAGGGTCACATAAAGAATTTGTGTGAATACTCATATTAGAATGTTCTTACTCTTTGATATTCACTCCTCCTTCACCAATATTATGGCTGGCAGAATCCTACTGGTATTTGAAATTGCCTTGCCTCTCTGAAGTTTTTCCAAAGGCGAACAGAATTAAATATCTCCTGTTTGCTCTCATAGCACACTGCAAAAGCTTTATGGAAGCACACATCACTATGTTTACTTATTCCTCCCTTTTTCTCTATCCTATGACCTTCCTGAGTACAGAAAGTACTGTACTGTACTGAGTACAGAAAGTACACACCTACTTGATTATTATTATTGTTATTGCTGTTATTGTTATTATTTTGATCACTGGAGATGCACACAATACTTGCTGTTTCGGACTGGCTCAGTATCTGATTTTGAAATGGATGATCTATTTCAAAGTTATTTTTCACACAATTAAATACTTTACAAAAATCCAAGAACTTCTGACTTCTAATTCTTCACAATTGACTATGGATTTTTGAAATTTGTTTGCTTCTACGTATACCCAATTCTGCTGTATATTGGCAGCCTTTCAAGGTTTGGGAACAAAACCTTGTCTATTTGTGTTACACTGGTCCCCAGATCACCATAGGTTCCCAATAAATCTTCATTCTAATCAGCTTTTGAAAATGGGGCTTCAAGCTTTACTGCAGTCAGTTATGTAGATGGCTGTAACCAGGGCCTTCTCTTTAGGTACAACCACCTTTCCAGAATTGCTTTTCTTTCCTCAGCTCCATTTACAAGGCTGCAGCTTTCCAGAACCATATGTTGCAGCTGAATTGTGCTTTCCCCTAGTAGTAGGATATCAATTTTTTTTAACACCATGTTATTTACTAGTCCCTTGGTTATACAAGAGAACTAGGAATCTCACATGTTAGCAATTGTAGCTCCAGTAGCTAAAGATTTACTACAGGCAAGCACACGTTTACAACATGGTTTACAGATCTCATCTCTTAACTTCCTGCAGAAGTACATCTGGGCCTGAATCTTAAGCATGCTCCGGAGCTGGACAGTCATTACCGTGTGTGTGTTTTGGTCTGGATGAGTAGATAATACAAGAGAATGATACTTTTAAATTTAGCTATGTCTTTAATATTGTTATTGGTGTTACATGTCTGTGATCATTTCCCCACTGGCAAACTAAGCCTTCATTACAAAATCCAGTCATGCAATTTGCATGCTTTAGAGATAAGGTTAAGGCTCTGTCAGAGCACTTAACCACAGGTGTAAAAATGTTGTGATTAAAAAGAGACTGCACATTTAAGTAGGAGTAATTAGAAGTGAATTCTTAATTGCAGAGTTACACAAGCATTTATGCTTTGCTTTGCTATCCTAAGCCTTTGAAAGGTGCTATATAAATGCAAATTGCTTCTCACATCATTCATGCCATGTATTCATGACATTGAAAATGTGCACTTATACTGAACTAAGCTTAATAATAAAATACTAAATATGAAATATCTATTAAATAGAGCTATACTTCCATCATCCAATAAGCATATTTCTGTATTTTCCATTTTAAACATGTACCTATGCTGATGAGATGCAAGTTCTCTCTGATTAAGAGAATAAAGAAACTCTTCAGACTGATTCAACTATAAAACTATAAACAGTTTTTTAAAATATTATTATTGTAGCTTAATAGTGTTTCAATTAGACAGTTTCTGAATGTGAACCACCACTAGTTTTAGTACATTCATTGCCTGTTGGCAATTTAAAGAACACCTTCTTCCAACACTCACAGAGATTCTAACTTATGTATTTTCAGAATGTTCTGTTCCTATAGATATTTCAACCTTCATTTTGACCTCTCAACACAATCTCCACATAAAAAGTTTGGATTGTGAGCTGGGCGCAGTGGCTGACGCTTGTAATCCCAGCACTTTGGAAGGCTGAGGTGGGCAGATCACCTGAAGTCAGGAGTTTGAGACCAGCCTGGCCAACATGGTGAAACCTTGTCTCTGCTAAAAATACAAAAATTAGCTAGACATGGTGGTGCATGCCTGTAATCCCAGCTACTGGGGAAGCTGAGGCAGGAGAATCACTTGAGTCTAGGAGACAGAGGTTGCAGTGAGCCAGGATCGTGCCACTGAACTCCAGCCTAGGTGACAGAGTGAGACTCCAGCTCAAAAAAATAAAAAGAAGTTTGGGTTGTGGACTATGGAAAGTAATTTTTATGAAGACCAAGATTTAAAACTCATAGAAAATATTAGGGTCTAATCTTCATGTATTAGTCCATTTTCATACTGCTATAAAGAACTGCCTAAAATGGGGTAATTTTTAAAGGAAAGAGGTTTAATTGACTCACAGTTCCACATGGCTGGGAAGAACTCAGGAAACTTACAATCATGGCAGAAGGCAAAGGGGAAGCAGGTACTTTCTTCGCAAGGTAGCAGTAGAGAGTGTGTGTGAAGGAGGAATTGTCAAACACATATAAAACCATCAGATCTGGTGAGAACTCACTATCACAAGAACATCATGGGGGAAACCACATCCATGATTCAATCACTGACCACTGGGTCCCTTGCTCAATACGGGGAGATTACGGGAATTATAATTCAAGATAAGATTTGGGTGGGGACACAGCCAAACCATATCACCTCACAAATATATGCCAGAAAATGGCAAACATTATGTCCGCTTATGAACCCATGTTCTATGTATTTGTAAACAAAAAGAAATTATTTTAAGATGGTACTACTCGATCGTGTGTGTGTCATTACGTCATTTGACAAGCTGGTTAAAGTACGGATTCTGATTGAAGAGGCTTGAAGTGGAGCCCAAGATTTTGCATTTCTAATAATCTTTCTTGTGGTGCATAAGCTATTCCCTCCAGACCACACTTACAGTAGTAAGGTTTTAGGGCAGGGGTCTGCAAACGTTTTCTGTAAAGATCCAGATATTCTAAGCTTTGTGGGTCATAGGATTTCTGTCAGATCTAGTCAATTCTGTCATTGTAGCACAAAAACAGTCATAGTTAATACATAAATAAATAAGTATGACTGTATTCTGATCAAACTATGTTTACCAAAACAGGATGAAAGTGAATTTGGCTCCTGAGCTGTAATTTGCTAACACCTGCTTTAGGGAACTATGCATGTTCTTGTAATCAACTAATCTATACTCAAAACTTGTATCTCCTCAAAATTAATATGGCAGAGATTAAATTCTTGAATGATCAATGACTGTCAGCCTCTGGAATCTCTAAATATAAATTTATATAGGCCCAATTTACATTTATCGTACTTCCTTCCTTTTCTCCCTGGTGTCTTCATTTTCTTCCCTCTCCCTTGTTAATTTTTCAACATCAAATATTCCACATCCTCAAATGAAGCCACATAATTAATCAAGCAGGTAATGTTGGAAATCAAAGCTGAAATATATTATTAGATTATCCGTATCCAGTTCTTTACCCTTTCTGGGTCAAGATCAAGTTCCCCCTTCTGGACAGATGTTTTTATTTTTCCAATTATCTAGCATCAGTTCTAGAGTTCACTTGAAATCCAGAGGTGATATTTCATTTAATCGATCAGGTAGGTTCACGTTCTCTACACCAGACTGGGCAGTCACAGTACCGATGTGTAAAGTGCTTTTTACTTTATTTCTGCTTTTCAGGGAAAATAAAATTAAGGAATATGCCAAATTGTGTTTTGAATATTTAACATTGGTAACTCTTAGGAATGTTAATATCACCACACAATACTAGGCAATCACTATGGCATTTTTATTAATTTGACTACTAAACAGTCAGTAATTTTGAAAGAATTTATATATTTTTTTTCTTGAAATACAAGATATGTCAGGTAAAGTGTTAACACAAATAATGGGTTAAAACTGAATTAGATAAACTGTAGCCTCAGAGTCAAATACATCTCACCTGCTTTGTGTGTGTAGCCAGCAAGCTAAGTATGTTTCTTACTTTAAATTTTGGCAAAAAAATCAAAAGATGAATAATGTTTTGTGACATGAAAATAATATAAAATTGGAATTTCAGATTCCATAAATTTTTATGGAATTTTATTAGACTATAGCCACATTTATTCATTTTTGTGTCATCTGTATCATCTATGGCTACTTTGCCCTACAATGGCATAATTGATTAGTTACAACAGAGATTATTTGACTCTCAAAGCCTAAAATATTTACTATCCGTCTAGTGACAGAAAAAACATTAGCAAACTCTAGGCTAGAACATAAATGTCCCATGATTTATATCTATGGACTTTGCTAAAACTGGATCATGCCTAACATTGATTAATTAGTTAAAATAAAGCAGTTAAGAAGATTGAACTCCAAGGAAGTGGTATCTGGAGGAAATAATCAAAGAAATTGATTAGAATATCTGCATCTTGTCTAGTTCACAATATAACAACAATTTTTATAAAAATAAACACTTAATGCATGCTAACAGTGCTAAGTGCTTTGTGGGCCTTATGGTCCCTGTTACAACTAGTCAGCTGGAATCATTTCATGACCCTCATTGCCATTTGGAATAGACACTATTGTTATCTTCATTTTGGATACAAGTAGTTGAGACATAGGTTAAATAATCTGTCCAGTGTCATCTAACCCACACATAGCAAAGTCAAAATTTGAACAATTTGATCCTTGAGATCAAAGTTTTAACTATATAACTCATCAAGAGCTTGCAAGGATAGTATCAATTTTCTGATATTTTCAATGTGTAGATGATTAGGTAATCTGTATGTGGGGAACTATCCATTTGCTCATGATCTTTTGATCTTGATAGCAGCAGGAGGCAAACGCCTAGGCAGATGGGACAGGTGCCTGGTGAAATCCAGCCTTCAAACCAAAGAGAGCCTGAAGCCTGAAAACCAAGCTACAAGTCTTAGATAAATCCATGGACTTAAAGAGAGGGTTGAGAAACTGTCTTCACATTTGGCGTGCTTTCCTCTGATTGATCCTCACCTTTCACCTATTTTACATATACCTACTCTTCCCTAATTGTTTTTTTATTTTTTACTTTTATTTTATTTTATTTTATGAGACAGAGTCTCACTCTGTCACCCAGGCTGGAGTGCAGTGGCACGATCTCGGCTCACTGCAAGCTCTGCCTCCCAGGTTCACGCCATTCTCCTCCCTCAGCCTCTCAAGTAGCTGGGACTACAGGCACCCACCACCACGCCTGGCTAAATTTTTTTTGAATTTTTAGCAGAGATGGGGTTTTACTGTGTTAGCCAGGATATTCTTGATCTCCTGACTGTGTGATCCGCCCACCTCAGCCTCCCAAAGTGCTGGGGTTACAGGCGTGAGCCACCACACCAAGACCTTAATTGTTTTTTTAGACTGTCATGCCCACCTTTGAGTGGCTCTTTTGTTTTGAGCTTTTTTGCATACTCACAAACCAATCAGCATGCACTCCCCCATTCTAAGCCCATAAAAGCCCAGAACTCAGGCACACTTTGGGGACTGCCCCACCTTTGGACTGAAGCTACATGACTTTGGGTGGGGGCTGCCCTCTCTGGGTCCCCTCTCTGGTGAGAGCTGTCGCTCAATAAAACTCTGTCCTGCTCACCCTTCAGTTGTCAGCGTAACCTCATTCTTCTTAGACATGGGACAGGAACTTGGGACCTGCCGAATGCGGGTACAGAAAAGCTGTAATTCTGTGGCCCTCTGCCCTCTGCTGGCACCCACCCAGTGGCCAACCCACGTGACCCCAGTGGTGGGGCCAGGCCAGCCCCAGAGCCACAGCCTCGAGTGGGGCAATGGGACTGAAAAGACTGTTAACACACCCGTTTGTTAGGCTACGGGCAGTGGGACTAAAAGAGCTCTTAGCATGCTGTAATAACACTTTTGCGGCTGGCATACCTGTTCAATGCCACCATGTTCCTCTCATCCAGATGCCAGCACCCAAGGTGGAGGCAGGTTGCAGTACGCTTGGCCCAGCTGCAGGCTGAGCACGGATCCCACAGCGAGCGCGGGATCCAGGCCAAAGTGCAAGCTAGGAGCTCCCACCACTGGGCCGAGTGGGAGGGGTGCCTCCTGCAGTGATCCCAGGGCTGAGAGAGGCCCCGGGCAGGGGTGTGTCAGGCCATGGAGATCTCTGGCTGGCAAAGCAGCACCAAAAAATCCTGCATCAGTCTTCTGGCCTGAATGCCAATTTGTGACAGAATGGAACTCCTGTAGATTATTATTTCACTGAGGTTTACACCTCTTTTAAAATTAATTTTCATATTTCCCTCAGGATTTGATTTACTATGAAACAACACGAAGCCAGGTGGGTTGAAGTTTATTAGGAAAAAATGGAAGCTTGGGGAATCTGAGGAATATTTTCAAAGTACAGAAAACAGCAGTACTGTGAAAGTCTTTATAGAGCAGAAATGATTTAGGACGGGGCCTCCAAAAAGGGGAACTTTGCATAGCATAGAAGTTGTGACTTTTTCTTTACCTGGTGGTCTCATTACAATTCTTAAAGGCTGATAACCTTTACTTAAATACATTTTTTGCAATGACACATTTATGCATATATGCAGCAGGTGAGCAGAGGGCATAGTCAGGGCTTTCATTACTAAAATTAGATGCATCACCAGCTTTTTCCTCTACTAAAAATTTAGCTAGCACAGAGAACAATAGGTCATGTGCATAAAGCAATTAGTGATATCAACACCTGGACAATCACCGAAATTCAGGGGAGGATACCTTAGCATGGGAGATTTATTTACCCTGGACTTACTGTACTGTCTTAGGGTGAGTACATTCTCCTGGTAGTAAACATGGTCTCCATACAATCCCACTGGTGGAGTTAAAATCTACTGGGGTAGATGTGTGGTTAATTGTAGACTAAAAAGTTTCTTTGTTGTTGTTTTAAGTTAGGAAAATAATGAGAGTGCTTTGAATTCTCTGTGCATTTCTTTTTTCCCTTATTGCATCATAGACCTCCACTGCTGACCTTCAGGCTGGTCTATTTAAAGAAACCTTTGCCCCGATGATTTTGGAGGTGGTCTCTTGAGTGAGTAATTGGGCATTCAGTTGGAAGCTTTATTTGAGATTGGGCTAATAGGTTAATTCTGTATTCAGAAATGCATCTCATAGTGTAGACAACGATTTTTCTTAAAACAGCAAGTTGTCATGCCAATTCTCATTTTGCAAACATTTTGCTTTCTTCTGATGGCAGGCACTTTTGGTAAACAGATCATATTATTTAACTCTATCTGCTTCTGCATTCACAGCAGAAATACAGTTTCTCCTCTAAAAAGAAACTTAAATATTATATTTATAATTCATATGAAGGCTGTGGTAGCTAGCATGAAGTACTTATGGTTATATTCAGATGATAAAAATATCTAATGAATGTCTAGTTGAGAGCTAGCTCATTACCATTGGCCTTGAGTGCAACATCATTTAAATTCAAACAGTACTGCCCTCTGCTATGAAAAATTGCCCAAAGGGTGAAGAATTGTCTCCAGTGCTATTCATTGATGTACATTAAACCTTGGTGAAGAACAGATTTCCACTGACAGTTATGAAAGGGAAAACCAGAGTGCTTTTTGGAAAACTATTTATTTCAATGAATAATTTCCAAATAATTTCATTAGATAATTGAGGCTTTTCAAATACAAATTTACAGATAATTAGGACAGAAAGACGAATAGTGACATTTAGTAATGCCTTACCATGAAAACAGCCTTGGCTGCCTCTCTAAAAATGAACATATAATTATTAAAGCCTCTTCATCTTATTTTGTTATTTATTACAGGTCATGGTCTATTAAGTTTCCTGCAACCTGATGAAAATGTGAATTTTGACTTAGCAGTACTGTGAATAACAGAAATCTATTTATCTATCTGGTTTGGTTTTATTAACCTAAGGAAGACACACACACAAACACACACACACACACAACACACAGAGGCACACACACATATACACTCACCCTTTCCCCGCAATTTCCCTTAGCAGGGGAAAAACAATAAAACAAAAAAACCGAAGAAAGAAAGAAAGTGGAGAATACCGGGAAGGGAAAAAATAAAATAATTTCCCTGCCTCTATGTTTCTTTTTATGTTTGTTTGTTTGAATTTCGTAAATATTAATAAATATTTGTGTCAAATGATATCTGAGTTCTTTGGCAGGAAGCATACATTTCTTAGAGAATGTTAGAAAGTAGGATTTGAAGGTATAGGTTACGAAAACTATATTTTTCTCCTTTTTAAAATAATAAAAGAATGTTTTTGTTGCTGATTCAATTTGTAATTATGAACATTTATCATTACCTCATTTGTTTATCATAATTGTGCCTTCTCTTTAAAATGAAATAGTGACAGTAGTATTTACCCTGTTTACCTCATGGAATATTGATAGGATGAAATAAAAAAACTATTTAAATGCATCAGCATTATTTCAATTTGTTTGAAAACTACCCCAAAATATTTAAAATAAACCAAATATTTTAATTTTCTTGAATATCCAGAACTGCTTTTTTTAATTAATTGAAGGAGAAAGTAATACTAACCAAATTCTGTTCAGTTTAGTTAGGCAGTTTTTCCTGATCCTCTCTCAAAGAAAATAATGCAAGTGCAAGAAAACCGTTACCCACATTTAAGTTCAATTGAAGAAAAATAGGTAAATTTCCTTGATGTTAAGACTGTTGTTTAGCTATTGACATATTTGTCACCATGTCCCTGCATGCCTTTGAATTTCAGTACCATCCAAATAAACTAAATTTACTGTCTTCCTTCAATGTTTTGCCTTAATGCATTTGAAATATCTACTATTAGACCATTTTACTTAGATGATCCCTTATTTATTGCTACCCAGGTTTCTGATTTTCCTTCTCAGCTTGCTCCTTTTTTTTTCCTAATTAGATAATCACACTTCTCTTTCTTTATAAATTTTCATTTCCTGAAAAGCCAGACCATCCTTATACAATCACACCATCTTCTCCCCAGATAGCTCTAAAATAAAGCCTATTGCAGCCAAATCAGTATCTTGGATAAGCTCAGTTACTTCTTCCATTTGATAAAGCTGATTTTCCACTTTGAAATATAGTGCACTGCAAATAACCTGAAGTGAGAAATAAAATGATGTAAGGTAAAATGAGGTGACATAAATACAATGATCTACACACAAAATGTGGCTTTCTATTGTTGTAAGATTTCAGAAATCCTACAAAGATGATCAGACACTTTGGTTTAATTATTTCCTCTTATACCATTAAAGGCAAATTTGACGTTTGTATTTTCTAAACCACATTATTACTTGAACATTAGCAAGTTCACTTCCTTCCTTCCTTCCTTCCTTCCTTCCTTCCTTCCTTCCAGCCCTCTGTCCTTCTCTGGAATAAGAACTAACCTGAACAACAGTAACAACAATACAAACAGCTATGAAGATTATGTATAGCTGGAGGCTACAAGCAGGTAAGGTGTGAAGGGATATAAAAATTAAAATAACCTATTTATTATTTTTATTTTCAAAAATCAATTTATTTAGTGAGTTTGTGTTATTAAATGATGAAAAAAATTACAATGAAGGGCTAAGGGCTTTCTACTTAGCTTTAGTTTAATAGTTTCAGTTTTCATTTTCAAATGAAGTGTTAGTACTTCATTTAATCTATAACAACCATGGAATGTGGTATCATTAACATCAGTTGAAAAAGTAAACTAAGTTTAATTCATGGTAATTCATGAGACGAATTCATTGACCAGAGGAGGTCAAAGAGTCATGGTTCTTAAAATGAATGTTGTAGTCCTCTGCCTTTCGATAACCTTACTATGATCATTTTTATGTAAGAGGCAACTAAGCCGTAAGTGGGTAAAAAGCATAGATTTGCTCAATTTCTAACCTGTTTTTTTCATGATACATGCATCATCCTAAACTATTCCTCAAATTTATCATTTAATCTCTGCTTTAACAATTTAGTGAGCTGAGGAAATTATAATACCATTTAAAAATAGCATAATCATTAGAAATATCTTCTTTATGTTGACCTAAAATTAACTTCCCTCCTATCCCTGGTGATGCCACTCATATTGCCAAAACTAGATGGTGACCAAACCTGTCAGATTGTTTTTTAAAGATGCTGAGGAGCAGATTTCTCATGGGGAGCACCTTCTGATACATTTTAATACGTTTCTTACAGGTATGTACATATACAGTTAATCCTTGAACATGGGTTTGAAGTGCATGGGTTATACGCAGATTTTAAGAAATAAATGTATTAGAAAATATTTTGGAGATTTATGACAATTTACGAACACAGATGAACTGCATATCCTAGAAATATTGAAAAAATTTAGGAAAAATGCACTTCACAAATGCATAAAATATATGTAGGTACTAGCCTATTGTATCACTTACTACCATAAAAATATATACAAATCAATTATAGAAAGTTAATATTTATTAAAACTTATGCACACAAACACTTAAGGACCAAGTAGAGAGAAATGTAAGCAAATGTAAATATGCAATATTAAATCATAGCTGCATAAAATGAGCTGCCATACACAGTGTATTACTGTCATACTTTTGTAGCCATATACTGTTGCTATCTTGGTGAGCTCCAGTGTTGCAAATTGTATAGTCCATTTTCATACTGTTATGAAGAAATACCTGAGACTGGGTAATTTAGAAAGAAAAAGAGGTTTAGGCTGGGTGTGGTGGCTCATGCCTGTAATCTCAGCACTATGGGAGGCCGAGGCAGGTGGGTCACCTGAGGTCAGGAGTTCAAGACCAGCCTGGCCAACATGGTAAAACCCCATCTCTAGTAAAAATACAAAAAAATTAGCCAGGTGTCATGGTGGGCGCCTGTAACCCTAGCTGCTCGGGAGGCTGAGGCATGAGAATCACTTGCACCTGGGAGGTGGAGGTTGCTGGGAGCCGAGATCGTGCCACTGCACTCGAGCCTGGGCAGCAGAGTGAAACTCCGTCTCAAAAAAAAAAGAAAAAAAAAAAGAAAGAAAAGGAAAAGAGGTTTAATGGGCTCACAGTTCTGCATGGCTGGGGAGGTCTCACAATCATGGCGGAAGGTAAAAGAGAAGCAAAGGTATGTCTTAAGTGGCGGCAGGCAAGAGTGTGTGTGTAGGGGCATTGCTCTTTATAAAACCACCAGATCTAGTGAGACTTATTCACTATCATGAGAACAGCATAGGAAAAATCCATCTCCATTATTCAATTACCTCCCTCAAGGTCCTTCCCATGACACACATTATTTTGGGTGGGCACACAGCCAAACCATATCACAAATATTCACTTAAAATGCTGTGTGAAGCTAATCATCTGCATGTGAGAAGTTCATCTTTCCAGTAAATTGTGTATGGCTGTAAAAAGTGATCTCTTGTAGTTCTCCATTTTCATCATGTTTAGTGCAATGCTGTAAACCTTGAATAATACCATGGGATCCATACGTCTTGCTACTAGTGATGCTGGAAGTTCTCTGAAGAAGGAGACAAAAGTCATGACATTACAAGAAAAAGTCAAATTGCTTGATACATACTATGGATTGAGGTCTGCAGCTGTGTTTGGCTGCCATTTCAATATAAATAAATCCAGCTTAAGGACCATTATTTAAGAAAAGAAAATTTGTGAATCCATTGCTGCAGCTATGCTAGCAGGAGCAAAACCTTTGCACTTTTTGAAAAATAATTTTTTATCTTCTATTATAATTGCAGATTTCACGTAAGTACAAGATTGCGTAGAAAAAGCATACTGATAGATTCTGCTAGGATTTGAGAAAAACCTAACATTATATGACAACTTAAATGAAAAGAGAAGTGAAAAATCTAAAGCTGAATAATTTAATGGCAGCAAAGGAAGGTTTGATAATTTTAGAAAGAGATTTTGCTTTTAAAATGTCAAGGTAGCAGGAGAAGCAGCATCTGCTGATGAAGAGGCAGCAAGTGAGTTCCCAGATGCAATTAAGAATAACATGGAGAAGGAAGGATATTTTCCTGAAGAGGTTTTTAGTACAGATAAAACTATCCTAATCTGGAAAAAAAAATCTACAAAGTGCACTTATTAGTAAGAAAGAGATGTGAGCTCAAGAATTAAGGCAGGGAGGGATAGGCTAACTACTGTTTTGTGTAAATGCAGTTGGTTTTATGATAAGCCTGCCTTTATCTATAAAGCTGCTAGCCCATGAGGCTTAAAGGGAAAAGATAAACACTGGCTGCCAGGCTTTTTATTGTACAACAAGAAGGCCTGGACAACAAAGCCCTTTTTCTGGATTTGCTCTATCTGTGCTTCATCCCTGAATCCAGAAAGTACCTTGCCAATAAGGAACTGCCCTTTAAAGGTTTTTTTTTTTTGTACATTGGACAATGCCCCTGACCACCCAGAACCACATGAATTCAACAACATAGGCATTGAAGTGGTCTACTTGCCACCCAACACAATGTCTTTGATTCTGCCTCTAGATCAGAGGTTATAAGGACTTTCAAGGCTCATTAAACATGATATCCTATGGAAAGGATTGCCAGTTCTACAAAAGAGAACCTCAATAGAGAGAAAATCATGAAAGTTGGGAAGAATTATCCTATTGAAGATGCTGTCATTGTTATAGAAAAAGCCTGGAAAGCCATCAGGCCCAAAACAGCTTCCTGCTGGAGAAAACTGTGTCCAGATTTTGTGCATGACTTGACAGGATTTGCGTACAGCCAATCAAGGAAATCATGAAAAAGACTGTGGATATGGCAAAATAGTGAGCAGTGAAGGGGTTCAAGATACAGATGTTGGGGACATTCGAGAGCTAATAGAGACCACACCAGAGGAATTAGCAGAAGACAACTTGGTGGAGATGAGTACTTCAAAACCAGTGCTAGACAATGAGAAAAATGAAGAAGCAGCAATGCAAGAAAACTAACTGACATCAGACAACCTGGCAGAACAGTTCTGATTATTTAAGCCTGCTTTTGATTTTTTTATGACAGGGACCCTTCATGCACCCATGGGTGCAGAAAAAAGTAAATGGTGGAAGAATTGGTACTGTATAGAAACATTTTAAATGCAGAGAAATGAAAAACACAAAACATCAGAAATTATGACGTATTTCCGTAAAGTTACACCGAGTGTGCCTGCTCTTTTGCCTCCCTTCCACCTCCTCCACCTCTTCTGCCTTTGCCATCCCTCAGACAGCAAGACCAAACTCTACTCTTCCTCCTCCTCAGCCTGTTCAATGTGAAGACAACAAAGATGAAGACCTTTATAATGAACCACATCCACTTGATGAATAGTAAATGTAGTTTCTCTTCCTTATGGTTTTCTTTACAATGTTTTCTTTTCTCTAGCTTACCTTATTGTAGAATGTGCTATATAATACATATAAAATACAAAATATGTATTAATCAACAGTTTGTGTCATCTGTAAGGCTTTTGGGCAATAGTAGGCTATTAGTGGTGAAGTTTTTGTGGTGTGAAAGTTATATGTGAATTTTCACTTGCAGTGAGGTTTGGCACCCATACCTCCTATGTTGTTCACAGGTCAATTGTGTATCACAAGTAATACTAGTTAGAAGTATTCAAATGAAAGTATTGCTGCTTGTATTATCACTAAGATTTGGGTACTTATCACTGCCAATAACTTTCACTTCATTTATAATAGTAACATTGGAAAGGAGGCGCTCTCAAATACTTGACGTCCTTCTTCTTTGCTATTTTATCTATTAATTGTTTTTTAATTGTCTTTAAGCTTTCCCTCATTGATCCCTCTCAGAGGTATATCTCTATAACCTAATTGCCCAATATATTCCACATGTAGCTATGTAAATTTATATTCAAATTAATTAAAACTAAAGTTAAATTATAAATTCAGTTTCTCAGTCATACTGATTACACTTCAAGTCCTCCATGGCCACATGTGGCTAGTGACTACCATATGGGATAGTGAAGATTTAGAACAGTTTCATCATTGCAGAAAGTTCTATTGGACACCACTGTTTTAGAGTCTAGCACAGTTTTTGGAAAAATAAGTAAATATCCACTGAATTAGTTTATTAGAAAGCAGAAATCCCATTTATTTCGCCTTCATCAGGGAAAGTGGATTTTAAGATCCAATATAGGAATATGTGTACTTCCAGGGGTTTTGCAGCTGTTGTTTTTCTGTGTTTGCTTTTGTGAGAGGAGGCTTAATGGCATTCTTTCCCCCTATAATCTACTTTATAGACCAAAAATGCAGCTAAGAATGATCATATTCTAAGAACGAAATCTCACGATTCCTTAACATTGATAGATACTCGTGGCATGGTAGTAGTAGTGAGACCTCCAATAAATTATATTTCTCACTGAAGTATATTGAAATAACTCAGTAATAAAAGGATCTGAAGTTTCAATTTCATCATGACAACATTTTTGATGAAATGAAGGAAAAGCTTTGAATTAAGTATGCATATTTAAGATAATAGCAAAGTGGTTACAGAAAAAATAATTGTTATAGAAATATGTTTTTGATGAAATATTCTTTCTTTAACTCTCTCTCATTCTAGAAGTTTTTCATTAAATTCTCCAAAGCAAAAGATCCAATTTAAAGCCTGTCATTTCATCTCTGGTTCACAATGCCTTCCTTAGACATAATACAATTCTCTAATACAAAATATTGTGCACTGGTCATAGATGTCAAAATAATATAATTTATTGTTTTCTTGTCATTGATGAAATCCACTCAGACGTTTCTGTTCACTATATAGATCTGTTTTGGGGGGCAGTTACAATATTAACAAGGAGAAGAAAGTGCTAAAATTCTTTCAACATGGTGCTTGTAGTTTCAACTAAACTGAAAGCAACATCTTATTAAGCCACAGACTAAAGGGGACATAACTGAAGCATGACAAGCTAGAGAAAAGAAAACCACAACCATTAATCTTTCTCTCAGTGTTATTTTATCTAAGGGAATATCTAATCTAGCAGAAATGTTAAAGTCATAGACAATTGATAGAAAAGAGCTCTGAAGTCATGTAGCCAAAATTTGTCATTGGTTAGAAAAGCAAAATAAAGCCACCAGAGATATTCCTAAATCTCAGCAGCTCAAGTGTGAATGCTTCTTACTTATATGGATGCTAGAAAAAAGGTACTTTTGAAATGCTTTCTTGTATCAACAAATATTTATTGAGAATTTATTAGTGTTCCGCCATTGAGGAGTTTTATTCAAAGTGGAGACAGACATAGTTTCAAGGGACATTTAAGTTCAGATAATTATGTTGGTTCTCTCTGTCTCAGAGACACACTCTTTGGCATCTGCTTTTATCAAAGATAACAGGATTGTGGATGACTTAAAAGGGTGATTACTTCATCTTATTTAATTGACACTTTATAAAGTAACACTCATCAGACTTCAACAATAACACACAGTATTTCCTTCATAATTGCTTTAACCACTTGACAAAAATTAGATAATTAGCTCATTGTTATTGTTACTTTTCCATAGGAATCTGTTTAAGATGAAATTACAAAAATTTACCTGAGCAGTTTTTCCTTACTACCTTTGTGTTTACTCCAAAAGAAACTGAAGAAAAACAATCAGATGGAAAGGTGACTTTAGGAAAAATAGGTGAGGACAATGCTAACATTTTCTTAAGGGGCCTATTTGCAAAACTGGTTTGTATATTTCTACCGAATACGTATTGGAAAGAAATTATTCATGCAAAACCAAACCATTACCAACAGAGCAATCTGACAAAATCAGCTTATTCTTAGATATCTGCAAATTGTTTTCATTTTGAATTTTCTTTCAAACCAATCTAGGATAACTGGCTATTGCTAGCATGACCATGTAATGCAGGAAAAGGCGGAAGCAAGTTTTGACAAAGAAATGCATGCGGTGCTAATACATCCTCAACTTAAAAAATTCTATTCCTTTAATGTGTTGCACTTTCACAGCGCAATTTGAACTAATCTTTCCTCCACATTGTCTTTAATACCCTTTCATTCCTCTTTATTTATACTGTGGCTACACAGTGGAGCAATTTGTCACAAAAGACTACTTCTAATAACTTATTAACTCCCTTCTTTGACTCCAGAACTCTGACATAAAGACTTATTGCCTATATTTAAATTCCAGCTCAGAAATGGGCTACCTTGGGGATCTTTGGAAAAAATTTGAATCTATCTTAGCTTTATGTTCTCCCCTGTAAAAGGGGATAATTATAATATAAGTCTTTAAGGATATATAAAGATGAACCTATCCATGTTGGTCTTCTAGCACAGTGCCTATTATGCAGTAAGTGCTGATTAAATTTTAGGTATTAGTATTAGGCATCTCACAATCCCATATTACTTCTCATACCTAGATTAATTTTTATACAGCATTCTATGCATTAACACCTAAAATAAAAACCTTTTAAGATTTTACCTCTTCCCATAACATAAGGTACTTTTTCCTTAGACTTGTATTAGAAGTCCCTATGGGCTAGAATGTCCCTATAGTCTAAAATGACCTAGAGTCCAACAGTTTTCCATGGAAATATCATGGAAATTTTTTTCTCTTAAGGTCTATTTTAGCCAGATGGATCTGTTCAATGTTCCTAAACCGATCCCCTGTAATCCTCTATAATGTGCCTTATAGAGTCTACCTTCCTTTATTCACACAATTACCCACACCTAAATTTTTTTTTTTCTCTGCAAGTCTGAATCCCATTCATTTTCAAGGGTCGGTTCTAGACAAATTGTTCTATGAAACAATGACTACCCACCCCCTCTCCTTAAAATCTGTAGCGCTTCTGGCCGGGCACGGTGGCTCATGCCTGTAATCCCAGCACTTTGGGAGGCTGAGGCGGGTGAATCATGAGGTCAGGAGATCAAGACTATCCTGGCCAACATGGTGAAACCCCGTCTCTACTAAAAATACAAAAAAATTAGCCGCCGCCGCGGCGGGCGCCTGTAGTCCCAGCTACTCGGAAGGCTGAGGCAGGACAATTGCTTGAACCCGGGAGACAGAGGCTGGAGTGAGCCGAGATCGCAGCACTGCACTCCAGCCTCGGTGACAGAGTGAGACTCCGTCTCAAAAAAAAAAAAAAATAATCTATAGTGTTTCTATTGCCTTTCTCTTCATTTGTCATATGTCATTTATTATTGCTGTCTGGCTTTTTCTTTGTTGGTCATTAATCCCAAGATAGTTTGGAAGCTCCTAGAAATGATGGACCATATTTCTCTGTATACACGTACAACCTGGCACAATACTAGGTACAGAATCAGACTCAAATGTTGACCAACGTATTGTTCCTAATATACAATGATCCGTGTAGTGTGTACATTCCACTTAATCTTGGTGAAGTGATGAGTGAATTCTTCTGAAAGCAGTGCAGATATGTGTCAGAATAAAAAAGCAAGGGCACTAAATCATTCAAGAACTGATAATGAAAGCTCTGGAAAAAATGTTTTATGTTTTATTAAAGAGATAGTAATCTTTTTTATGAATACTGTTTTAGGTATTATTGCTGCAACTTTATTTGGAACCAGGCAGATGCTGATGATCTAAGATGATGATAATCTTCACGATAAATGCAATCATTATAAATGTTAGAAACTTGCTGAATATATGTACACATAGGAGAGAGATTTAAATGGTTCTTCCTTCTTTATGTTCTTCTGATAATAAATACGTATAAAACAACATACGCTAAAGTTAATATTTGATTATTGGAAGGGCATTTTGAAATAAAACCCACATTCTCAAAGAAGTTAGATAAGGGAGATCTCAAAGAATATTTTTAGATCTATCTGTTAAAGGAAAAAATATTGAAAAACCTTCTGGAAGATTATGGATTATTTATTTTTTCTTTCATTTTTTTAGAAGAGTCGAACACAGCTGTACTTTCTATATATTTGGGAAATTTCTATACGTTTGGGAAATTGGAGATCTAATAAATGTTGACTACTACACAGCGGCTAGCCTAGTGCTGTGTACTCTAGATCTTAAATTCTTCCAATTGACATACTATTTCATTTCTTTATATATGTATGCAAAAATAATTAATTATAGTGATGATAATTTTCAAACATCTGAAGTAAGTCTCCCTTCCCCACATTAGCCAGTAAAAGAGTGAAGGAGAAAACAGAATATGTTACTGAAATATATGTTTGTTCTACATCAGCAAAAATGGTTAGAAATTAGGAGGTATCTATCAGCTTTGTTCCAGACTTACTTCACGTTATCGTGTTAAAACCGTTGAAATTGAAAATAATTTTTCACATTTTCAAGAAATTTTTCCATTTCAATAGCTTTAAACATGAATCATTCAAATGTTTGGCTAATTACTGTCTGCATTGATGACATATATGTTATTTCATTTGGCATAAAATAATTTTCATTGCTTTACAAATACTGAAAATTCAAGAAATTACCACACCCATTATAGGTGTTTTTCTAACAATTAATTATCTTGATATAACTCAAGTTCTAATTTTATTTTCATTTTAAATTTTACAAAATAGTGATTGCTATTCTCATTAGGTTGTGCTCTTTAAAAATTTAATTTCAATGTTGGCTATCGACTATTTTCCCAAATCATTTTCCCTGTTTAGGGTTTGAGATTTTTGTTTTATAAAATATTATTTATCTTGTGTTCCATTGTTGATTAACTTTAAACTTTCAAAATATATAATATGGCCAGGTGCGGTGGCTCACGTCTGTAATCCTAGCACTTTGGGAGGCCGAGGCAGGCGGATCACCTGAGGTCAGGAGTCCGAGACCAGCCTGGCCAATGTGGTGAAACCCCATCTCCACTAAAAATACAAAAATTAGCTGGGCATGGTGGCGAGCATCTGTAATCCCAGCTACTTGGGAGGCTGAGGCAGGAGAATGGTGTGAACCCGGGAGGCAGAGCTTGCAGTGAGCCAAGATCACGCCATTGTACTCCAGCCTGGGTCACAGAGCGAGACTCCGTCTCAAAAAAAAAAAAGCGTCATATGGAGACTATATTAAAAATATATCATAATTAGCTAATATAGTGCCAACATAATGTTAAATTAACTAATTTAAATTATAAACAAATAAATGCTTAGACACAGAAATTTCCCAACTAAGAACTTATCCTACAGATGCAGTCACAGAGGTATGAAAAGATACATGATCAAAGGTATAGCCAAACAATATTGAGTATTGTTTCTAATATCAAAACTGGAAATACATCTAAGCGACTCATGAAACAAATTGAGAAACTAACATACATTAGACTATTGTGCAGTTACTTAGAAGAATGAGTCAGCATTATATGTACAAATAAAATATAGTAAGATTATATGTAAATAGTAAAATCAGGAAACATTGCAGAACAGGATATATTTTTTGATCTAGTGTGTTCATATATGTTTATATATATTTATATATAATGTATATATATTTATATATAATGTATATATATTTATATATAATTTATATATAATTATATATATTTATATATACAATTTATATATATTTATATATAATTTATTTATATATTTATAAATAATTTATATAATTTATATATTTATATAATTTATTTATATATTTATAAATAAATTATATAAATTATTTATATATTTATATTATTATATATTTATATATAATTTATTTATATATATCATTTATGTGTATTTATATATAATTTATATATATTTATATATAATTGATATATATTTATATATAAACACAACCATAAATTATATATATATATACATATATAAAAACTCATAGACTCTGTCTGAAAGGATCAGCCAAAATGATTAATAATAAATTTATCTTTTAGTTTATCCAAATCACTTTTGAGGATAGGAATTGGGCAGCCTAAGCTTGGGAGTGGGCTAGATTTTTATCTTTAATTTCTTCTATAACATTTTAATATTTTGTTATGATAATAAATTAATTTTATAAGTCAACAACACAACATGATTTAACACCTGTCACTTTTTATAGGTGTTGAGATGTCCGATAGATATGAAATAAGCATCTCCACCTCAATAAATAAAAAGACAGGAATTCGACTCTAGGATTTTTATCAGTTTGTAAGAATAAAAGATGAATGCATTAAGGATGTGAATTTGTTGTATTTACCACTTACAGAAAAATTATGGTCAGCACTTTTTGACATTTTCATAAGAGGACTGTAAAACTCCAATTTCATAAATTTAGAATGACATTTGAAAGTATATCTTTCTGTGTAATTGTGTGGCTTTGTTGTCCTACTGTCAGTTATGATTGACACTTAATAATTAGGTGTGGAGATATAAAAGATGCTGAATTTTTTTAAAGTAGCTTGGATACTGATGGAAATTGTCAATTCTCTTAGAATGCTTGAGCAGAACATCAAGATCACAAGGTTTTTCCAGTTTCTCTGAGTAAGAGAAGAGGTCTCTGTGTTACAAAGGCAATTTATTAAAAAGTAAGAATACCAAATCTATGTGAGTATACATTAAAACACATTCTGCCCAACACATTGGTTATGCTCCTAATGGTTAGCATTTAGAAGCAAAATCTCTTCATTTTAATAAAACCATATGACCCTATTCCATTTGTAAAAATTCCTTATTAATGCTGGATATATTACTTTATAATGTTAAAAGGTATCCATAGTATATAGCAAATAGGGTTTCATCAATCTAAAAAGACTGAAATCAGAATATAACCTTAAATGGAAATGTAGAAAATAACCAATTTCTTTTTTAAGGCACTTAAGCACATTAAGTTAATGATCTCAAAAATTCTAGAACATAAGCCAAGATATATTTGACATATCTGGGGGCAGTTCTGTGACATGATTATGTGGAGAATTCTATTGCTAGGTTCTATTTTTTCCATCCAAAAATATTTTTTTACCGCTTGAAATGGTGAAAAAAATCATTTTTGGGAGGAGCCATCTATAAAAAACTCTCCCACTGTATTATTATTTTAAGATCTTTGTTAACTTAATTTTCTTCAAATCTTTGGTCAAAGTTTTTCAAGAAAACCACCCTTTTGCTCATTCTCAATACCTTGCAATTTTTGTTGGCTTTCAAATGCCACAGAAAATATTTTGATTATTACTTGTGTGTTGTCGTGACAGCCTTATATTTATATATTTCAGGTTTTCTCATTTCTCATTTCCTTTATTACTGCATTAAGTAGATATGACCTCATATCACTATTTCATCTGATTTTAATATCTCCCCTAAGGTCTTCTAACATCCTGTCTAAATAATCAGTAGGAAAAATTTTTTTAGAAATTATCTAAGTGTTTAAAAATCAAATATTTTTAATAGCATTTGAAACATTTTTTATAACATGTAAAACTGATTATGGTGATATTTTTCTGTTAAGTTCAAATCAGGCCTTAGATACATGTTTTTGTTAATCATTATTTATTTGGAAATTGGAAAAGATAAATCACATTGCCTACGAGATACATTGCATACTTATTTCATATAAGAAAGTTAAAATTGGTGGAATTAGGGAAGGAGAAAGAAAAATGAATTAACAAATTATGTGTCTTTTACTGGGTACTGGTTTGGAAATAAGAATGGTATCTGAAAACAGAAGTAACATGAAATTTAATTCAATACTGCAAGAACATGATGTTAGTTTTTAAAACTTTTTTCCCCTTACTCCTTTATATCAAAATGACTGTTTATTAGTCTTCCTTCCACCATATTCCAAATTTGAAAATTAGGTTAATAAGCTTTAATGTGTGTTTTTAATGGAAAAATTTTTAAGATCTTATACTGTCCTGGAAAACATTTTACTTCTGTAGCAAACCAGAAGAATGAAATAATGACATATAGAATGCTATAATGGAAACAATGTTTATGAGGGTTGTTGAGAAGTTTAGATTATGATGTAGCTATGCAACCAGTTGGACATCATTTCAGACATGTCCCTATCCATTTCTGAGCCTTTATTTCATTTGCAAAAGGTGACTAAATTGAATGAGAAAGCCCCTTCCAGCCCTAAGATACTATGTCTCTAATACCAAGTTCCCTTTGGAGTCAATATGATGGTTAGTATATTGTCGCAGCAACTCATGTAGTTCTTATATGTAGTAAGACTCAACTTTATCTGTGGATTGATCATTGTTGATATTGATTATTGATTATTATGAGTGGGAGTTTTATTCATTAATCAACAAATATTTAATGAGTACCTACTAAAACTCTAGTCTCTGAGCTATGGGAAGTTGTTGAATGAAGAACATATGTTCATGTAACTTAGAATCATCTCACAATTATAATGAAGGATAAAACTTCACATATCACATTAAATTCAGAAAAATATATAGTAATAAGTTAGGTACAATATGTTTGAATTAAAACATATTACTACAATAAATCACTTTTTTTTCTTTTTGAGACGGAGTCTCGCTCTGTTGCCCAGGCTGGAGTGTAATGGCGCGATCTCGGCTCACTGCAACCTCTGCCTCCCAGGTTCAAGCAATTCTCCTGCCTCAGCTTCCTGAGTAGCTGGGATTGCAGGAGGCTGCCACCAAGCCTGGCTAATTTTTTGTATTTTTAGTAGAGATGGGGTTTCACCATGTTTGTCAGGCTGGTCTCGAACTTCTTACCTCATGATCCACCTGCCTCAGCCTCCCAAAGTGCTGGGATTACAGGCATGAGCCACAGTGCCAGGCCAATAAATCACTTTTATGTATTAAAACATTTCAATTTTCACAATAACACTGAGGCAGTTATAAAAGATGCACACACACAAACTGCTCTGCCCATTTAAAGTATGACGTAGGTGGTCTCAGAGAAGGAAAGATCTGCAGCGGAGCCAGACTGCAGTACAAACCTCTCTGCTTCTTGGGCCTTATACTGTTTTGGAGATCCTGTGGTAGGAAAACACATATGGAGCATTTGGTACATCTCAGTAGAAGAAACATAATGTAGTTTATTCTGGAGCAATGCTTTACAGAGAATTATATGCCTTTTGAACAGTTTCTCCTTTTTGTCACTGGACACTGGTAAAAATAGAGTAGTTCACTGTGGTTCATCAAATGACCATGTGGTCAGAGTTTTCCTCAGAAGCTAGATCCAGAATTAAGATAAGTAGGCCCATCAGGAATCTATTGTAATATGGAAGTAGAGTATCTGTCATAATGCATAAGCAATGCCAGAAAACATGATTTAAGCTTGTATCTTAAGCAGATGACTTAGATACCCCCTCTATCTCTCCCCGAACCACTCACTTCACCTCCACCCCCACCACCATGTCATTCGCTTTTGTATCAGAACCTCTTATTCTGCTTTCATTTATGGCCACATAGGAATTTGGAGGAGGAATAAAGCAAAGCTTTATTTACAAATATGTTGTCTTGTTAGTCAAGCCAAAAATAGACCATGATTATGCTACTGTCTCACTCAAGGGGTGGGGGAGGTGGGAGGGTGAGGCATCAAAAATCCAATGGTGAGGGAAAGTTGATGGGCAAGCTGCATTTGGTATACCTATTCATCCATTTTATGAGGAAAGAGAAGCAATCCAAAGCAAGAATACATAGAGATTCATGAGCAGGAATAAATGGCTTGGCTAGAAGGCCAGGGCCTGAAAGAAGAAAAAAATGGAAGATAGGGGACATTGTAATGGAATAGAGGCACACAGATGTACCTTGCATAGTGGACATAAAATGTCAGCATTTTTATATTGCATGCTAATGTCACCAAAAAGCTGTCATTATGAAAGAGGCATTAAACAGCTGAAGAGACAAAATGACCCAGCCAATTAATGTCAGCCAGCCTCTGTCATTGGCCACTCCAGTGCTTGCACAAAGGGCACAAAAAAGAAATAGCCATTTGAGAGGGATGGGAGCTCTGCGTGGAGTCAAGAATATGGGCTCAAACTCATCAAGACTTATCTATCTACTGCCACTACTGACCCTTCAACCTGTCAGCAACACAGACAAATAATCTATCCCTAATGCAGCAGCATCCTCAAGAAAACCAACCAGACATTTTGTGGTAAGTTGACTACATTTGACCCCCTTTACCCTCCAATGTCAACAATTCATTTTCCCAATAATTGGTATATTTTCTGGGTATAAGTTTGCCTTTTCTGACTGCAGGATGTCAACCTGCACCACTAACCAAGGGTTTACAAAGTGATTCACTGAAATAGGATCTCACTCAATATCACGTCAGATGAAGACACCTACTTTGCAGAAATAGAGTGTGGGAGTGGGCACATGACCATGCAATCCTTTGGCCACACTCCACACTATACCACCCGGAAGCTATCGGCATGATAGAGCAACAAAATGGACTGGTGAAGGTAAACTGAGGTGCTAGCTTGGAGATGATTCCTTACAAAGACGGGGCACCACTTTCCAGGATGCGATATACACATAACATCAAGAGTTGGCAAACTTTCTGTAAAGAGTGAGATAAAAATTATTTTAGGTTTTCAGGCCATATGATCTCTGTGGCAGCTACTCAACTCTGCAATTGTAGTGTGAAAACAGCTTTAAATAATATATAAATGAATGGTTATAACTGTGTTCCAGTAAAACTTTGTTTATATAAACAGGAAATAGGATGGATTTGGCCTATTTGCCATAGTTTGCCAATCTCAACATGAGTAGATAGATGGCCTTTACATAGTTTCCTGTCCCTAATAGGTGGAATACATGAGTTCGAGAATCGAGGGATTGAAGCAAGGGTAGCCATCTTTAATATCACTTCTATTTGTGTTTCTGTCTGCACACATTTTTTATCACTCCTAGTTGTGCTTTATGGAAATTTTGTGCTTTCTGTGTACACAATCCTGATTTGCAGATTTTTTAATTTTTTTAATTTTTTTTTTTTTTTTTTTTTGAGACAGAGGTTCACTCTATCACCAGGCTGGAGTGCAGTGATGCAATTTCGGCTCACTCCAACCTCCACCTCCTGGGTTTAAGCAATTCTCCTGTCTCAGCCTCCTTAGTAGCTGGGACTACAGGTACACGCCACCATGCCCAGCTAATTTTTGTATTTTTAGTAGAGATGGGGCTTCACCATGTTGGCCAGTATGGTCTCGGTCTCTTGACCTTGTGATCCACCCGCCTCGGCCTCCCAAAGTGCTGGGATTACAGGCGTGAGCCACCGCGCCTGGCTCTGTTTTGCAGATTTAAAACTCCTGATACCCAAAGGGAGAACACTTTTACCATGGACATAGCAAAAGTCCTATTGCATATAAACTGTGGTTTTCTCCTGGTCACCTTGAACTCCTTTGGATAAGGGACAAGCAGTAAACACAAAGAGTCACAATCCTGGCAGGAAATGGACTCTGATCATCAGGGGGAAGTAAGGCTGATGTCTTCCATTTATGAAACAGAATTCTGTGTTTGGCTCCCAAGCGATCCACTTGCATGGACAAGAACAGCAGCCACAGTCTTGGAGGCACATGGTGACCACAGACCGAAGACCAGCTGAGGTGCTAATTGAAGATTAGGAAAATCTAGAAAAATACACTGGTTTGATTTTTTTCTGCCTGGATAAAGAAGAGAGATGCTGAGGATTAATTACAGCCCTAAGATCAGCTACAGTTGCATGGGCTTAATTCATCCCATAAATCTTCTTCCTATAAGTCAAAGCCAGTTAAAATGAAAAAGCTCATCGTAACTATAACCCTTGTCATTCCAAGTCAGAACATATGTAAAGGAATAGAACTGAGCAGTACAATGGATGAAATATAGTGGATGCTGTTATGTATTGCCTGGCTTCTCCTTTAGAAATGAGGCATTATTTTCTATAGCTTCTGGGAGCAATACTATCTGACAGACTTCAGCTTTTGATTCTTTCTGTAAATTGCCTTGGGTTGGAAAGAGCTCTTTTGTCCAAGATCACATTTCCTTCTAACAAACAGCTTGCATCCAGTGACTGGTCAATGCAAGAACATAAAGGTCTGGCATCCTCAGTGCAGGCAAAACAAATTTGAAGGGGCCCTCCATGTTGGCTGTGGACTTTGTTAGATCTGCATGCAGCACAATTTTCTTCATTGTCCAATAACGCTTCTTTACCTTCCTGCCTTACTTCCCTTCCCTTCCATAGGTTTTGATCCCAGGAGTTCTCCCTAATAAATATCCTGCCTAATGATCTCCAATCTCCAATTTTACAACCATGTATTCCAAGGGAATCCTACCTGCAGTAGAAAAATTTAAGAATTAAAGTGGTTTAGCCAAACCACTTTATCCAACATCACCAAATATTATAGTTTATTAATGCCCACTAAGCCCCCAAAACCATTTGATTCAAATCTGAAAAAAGAAAGGACAAGAGTCACCTCTTGACTCTCAGAGACCTCCCCTCTTGAATCTACTGGTCAGACCTTTTCAATAGAGCTCTCTGGTGAACTACCTGTTAACAGTACTCTCCCAAGAGTGGTAGTTACCATTTCGTGCAAACAAAGCTCATATGTGGAACTGTTAAAGTGGAGAGCTCTTTTGGAGGCTGACTTACTTGATTACAACTCTACTGATGGCTCCTGGTTGTACTGAGTACACCAAGGTTTAAAAGTCCCTTCAAATGAAGAAACTGGATAAGGGATATATAGGATCTCTCTTATTATTTTTTTACAACTGTAAGTGAATCTACAATCATCTCAAAATAAAAAGTTTAATAAGAAAAGTTTACTAAAAGAGGCCTCTGTACCCACCCTGCAACAGGATAATGTACTACTACTTCTGTGATCGGTCTTCTGTGTCGAATGGTGAGTATCCATCATGCATTCAGATTGAAGGCTCCTGGGTTTATTCCATGGCTTTGATTGTCTTCCAGTTTTACCTTGAGGACAGTCAGAGACCTCTTCTGCAAGAGAACTAGCTCAGATAATCAATTGCTTTCTAGTCATGTTTCTAGAAATTCCGTATTTGCCCATAAAGTATTGGGGCATATTATGCCAGTAAGTAAGAGGTTCTAGAGGTGCTCATATTGACCCATTTTTAATTTCTGCTCAAACCAATGTTCTATTTAACAATTTGTATGAATGAGACGTGTTTTGAAAACATATGCTGCGTTTAAGGGTTGTGATATCTTAAGACATCATATAGAATTTTAGATTGAGTGACCTCTTGAAGTAGTGTTTTGGAAAATGGAAAAGATATTACTGAACAAAACGGAAAATTTATTAAAAAACAGCTTGTAAAGAATATACTCACAATCAAATAAAATAAGCTGCAAAATACGAAGTAGAAAAAAATTCTCGTCGATCCACATCAGGTTTAAGCCACCTCAATTCTGTAGTCTGTTTGTGCCACATGTAGCCTTGTGTTCAGGCAGGAAATAAGTAGGGTCATCGGCGTATCAGGGACGGTCTAGGCATAATGTAACTTAATGCTGACTTAGAGCCCATTGCAGGCACCTGAGCACAGTGGAGGGCTTTAAAGACTGGTAGTGCAGCCCACAGCCTCCGAAGAGCATTTCTTTGGAAGAATTGCAGTTTGCCCATGATATTTACTTAACATCCCTTTCAGGCTTAGTACTGAGGTTGATTGTTTGCATTTAAAATCTGGTTAAGCCACTGGAGCCATGGTTGCTAGGAAACCAGCACTTATTTGGAGACTGCTTTGCCATCTCCCTTCTAGTCACACCTCTAATTAGGAAGAGCCAACAGGTTGCAAAGTTTGTACTCACTCTTTTTCCTCTGAAAGATCACCAAGTCTAAAAATCACTCTTCCAGCGCATTCCATTTTTCTATAATAAAATCTGTTTGTGTAATACATTCCTTTGTGGTTTTTATTAAATTGTCTTCATTAAATAGGCCTTTACCTATCCCATTTCACTTATTTTCTAAATGATCTCAATGCGGACTTCCATTGTCAACAGAGCCGTTCCAGTCCCCAACCCCTGCTACCAGAGGAAAGTGTTCATTTATGAAAAAAACCAAAGGGTTAACATTTACAGTTGCTCGTATAAATAAGAGACCTATAAAGAAAGCTCATTAGTTAAATAAATCACAAGGATATTCTTTGTGCTGCTGTTCTCACACTGACAAAATTTTACATCACCGGGGCAAGTATTTACTATTTCCAGTCTGAGGCTTTACATACTTTCTTTGTTGCCATTTCTTCTTTTTACCTCCGGTCTAAAATAACATTATTTTCTCAAGTTGTTGGGCTGTGACACTACCAATTTCCTGAAATGGTGGGAACATGATCTTCCAATTCAATATACTTAAAAGGTTGGGCAGAGCTTAATAGCCTGAGAAAATAATATCAGAAAATTATGTGTTCCGTCACTTATACCAGTCATGCAGATTACAGAATCTCGGATTAGCATTTATCCAAGGCATAGAAGAAGGACATTATAAAAATATTTCATATATTTCACATCTCTTTTTTATTAACTTGCTGCCTTTTCAAGAAAAAATATGTGGAAATATGTTGTGAGGCCACTTCTGCATGTGCCGTGTGACAGGAGAGCCAGGCAGTTTGCTAGTGTTTCAGGTGATCAGAGCAGAGTTCATTTATCTAATTAGTATTTTTTGGCACCTAATAGGAGCTTTGTTAGTGGCAAAGGGTAAAAAGAAATAAGAATTAAGTTTTCTTTGCTAAAGGAATTTTTACTTCATTTAAAGGAGAATAAATATCTGCACACAGAAGCATGCAAAAACCTAAGAATATATTTATCGAAGGCAAGGACTGATTATTTGTACCCCAACGCTATTTAAGAAACTATGCAATCACAGTGCTCACCCTGGTCTGCCATATATTGTACAATCACAATCGAATATGATTGTTTGGTCAGTCACATGAATAATAACAATAAGCATTATCTCCCTCAAATATTCACCTTAAGAGCCTATATGCTATACGTGTCTTCCTATGATATCAACATCACTTAAAATATTTCTGAATACTTTCTTGAAAATGGCTTTCAAAGTCTGTCACTCACTTTTTGAATATGCTTTATCATATATAGAGACTTTGAAGTTGGATTTGGGCTTCAGAAACCATCAAATGTCATTTAAAAATGAGTCTGGTGCATATTATGGGTAATTTTTGAATATGGTTTTATTTCAAAACTGAGATGTGATTCTAAAGTAATGAGATGCTATAGAATTTTCTTCTATGTCCTGGAAAGCAATCTCTTCTATGAAAAAGAATAACAAAGATATTATTGGCAACATGGTTTCAATAAGTACGTGATCTCCAACGAGTGAACACTTTTATTCCTGTGTGTATCTGGCTTTTTCTGGCCAATTGTATTTCATCTCCTTATAAACTTAGTAAATTATAAAATGATAGTATCTTTTACTTTGTTTTGGCTATTAGGAAGCTCATAGTCAAATTCAAAACTTATATTTTTAAAAATCCCAGTACATTTTTGGGTAACTTTGCCTTGAGTCTGATTTTCTGTTTACCTTATTTTTCCCTTTCACCTGCCCTTATGATGTTTCTATCCTATTGCACTGTATATATTTCATGTACTATTTCAAATGTGTTAGGAAAAAGAACTGGGTATAAATACATGTACTCTTCTAAACTTCAATTTTTTCTTTATAGACACGTCATAATAATGAATAATTTATTCAGAGTTTTATATTTTTATTTTAAGCAAACAACAGAGAAGAAAGGATAATTGAGAGATTGTTCAGTGAAAGATCAGTGAAAAATGATCTTGTACATTTCATGAAATTTGACTTAATAGTAAATAGACTTTAAAATTTCTTTGCCCTTTATAACAGATTGACTTGAAATCTTACATAATATCAAACAACAGCAAACATTGGTTTGCTAGATTCTAGGGATTGGCAGTGAACAAACAAGAGATATTAGGTTGGTGCAAATGTAACTGCAGTTTTTCCAATTAAAAGTAATTGACACCTGAGGTCAGGAGTTCAAGACCAGCCTGGCCAACATGGCGAAACTATATATAGCTAGGCATGCTAGCAGGCGCCTGTAATCCCAGCTACCTGGGAGGCTGAGGTGGGAGAATTGCTTGAACCCAGGAGGCAGAGGCTGCAGTGAGCCGAGATTGAGCCACTGCACTCTAGCCTGGGTGACAGAGCAAAACTCCGTCTCAAAAAAAAAAAAAATAATTGAGAAATTACTGAATTTTCGGAAACATGAAAGTGTCCTGGAAGTCATGAGCACTATTCCATCTACTTTATGAGTGAGACGTGATTTTTCAATGTGAGAAAATATATAGCTACCTTGTCTCACACACACACCTGTAATTACATGTGCAGGCTATCGTCAGCCAATTTGGCATAAAGGGATAATTCTTAGCCTCTTTGAGTTTTAATCAATTATTGATTTCAACACTTGAATTAGTGAAGCGACTTGATGTTCATGGCAACGTGTAGTGATGATGCAGTATTTGCAAATGATGTATTTCTAGTAAGTTGCT
The DNA here is from genome assembly GCF_000001405.40 of Homo sapiens. Classification (NCBI taxonomy): domain Eukaryota; kingdom Metazoa; phylum Chordata; class Mammalia; order Primates; family Hominidae; genus Homo; species Homo sapiens. The sequence goes on along the minus strand of NC_000003.12, from coordinate 106,696,454 downwards.
TTGACACTCGGAAAACAGATCTAAATTTAAATCAATAGTCAAGATGCATTTTCATCTTACTTAAAAAAATAGTGTTATATGTTGGCATTATTAAACACTCAAATGCCCAAAACATGTTAAGTTCTGTGTGAAACGTTTTCAGCAACTAGCACAGCTACCCTGCCACCCTAGAACCTTAGGTATTAAGATAGCTGATTACAGATGATGGCATGAGAATAAATCCCTATTACTCTGTATGTTACCCATAGTGTTGAACATCACGGACTTTGGAGTCAGATAGATCTGGATTCATTATTTAACAAATTATAAATTTCTTTGTTGTCCAATTTATTTACAGTAAATGGGGATAATTACACTTACATTGTATGTTTGTTTTGAAAATTATGCATATTTAAATTGCTTAGCTCAGTAGACCAATAAATATTAACTAATAGTAAGTAATTATAACAGTAGAAGTAGTAATAAAAATAGTAGAGATAATATTAGAGTAATTACTCAAGAAACAATTGAGGATTACATATTACATATTAAAATGCAAATATTAAACAATATTTCTATATGCAAATCTATTAATCCTATAGTCCTATAAGGCATAATAAGGAGTTTGCCTTGTAGCTTCAGATTATGAGGCGTATGTGCACAGGGAAGTGAAATAGAACAGCAGTGGAGATGAGGGCTTGTGTTTTTTGGTGACTTTAATTCTACCACCATTTCTGAGATATAAACAAACTGCTTGAGACCACCCCAACTCGCTCCCTCCCCTGATAATGTCTCCACTTCCCTACCCTGATCTCCTTACTAGCTTAAAAAAAAAAAATTGGCTCTGGACAAGAAAATGTAATTTGAGAAACACAGAGGTAGATAATGTGGGAGTGGGAATGCTTACCCATATTTCTTTTACTTCTCTTTCTGGGCAAATAAGAGGATAAACATAATTTATTCTTGCATCTAATCTTGTCCATGCAGCCAATTTCTGACAGCCAAAGGCTGTCAGTAGAAGTGGTTTTTGTCACTTACAGGCCATAGCGTTGAATTGGTAGGATGAGGCCTCCAACAGTCTGTTCTTGTTTATTGATCAAGGAAGCTCAGTGTTGCAGATGATGCAGCTACAGGATGGTGAAGCTCCTAACTGCAAGTAGGGAGAGATTATGCTGGACATATAGCAGAATCTGTCTATACAATAATCATTGCTGTGGAAAACCACAAGATTATTTTTTGTTACCACACCTAGCATATTTTGATTAATACATGTGGGTAGAAAAGATTTTGATTCACTGTGTCTGTCTCTCTCTCTCTCCATCTCAGTTATTATTCTTAGTGTTTTTAAGTATTAATATGTCAATAAATACCAAGCTGATACAAAAGGAGCTTAGTTTTCTGCTTTACAAAGGTAAAGGGAGATAACTGCAAAAAATAAATTTATGAAAACTCTATATTCTTCTCCTTCCATTAAATTCAAGGTTCTCCATGCAGCATGCTTTTATGCTTTTATAACAGTAAATATAGAGTTATAATCTGTTTTCATAGACAATTTAGTGCTCTCCTATTAGGAAATGTCCATTTTGACATGAGTTTCTTCAACCAGCAGGAAAAGTCCTGAGGGACTTGAAATATAAGGTCTCCCAACTACCGCAAACTAGAAAATCAACAAATAAAAGAGAGATAGACATTCCCCACCTTTGAAAAAAGAGGTGATCTAGTTCATATTTCAAAAGTATTTTGTCTGATGCAAAATCTATCTGTGAGGCTTCCTGTCTCTTTTTGTTTCATGTCCAAGAAGTCTGAAAATAAACTCTGCAAGGAAACTTGAGAGAAGTCCACTTCAGTATATTTATAAAGACCCTGACCTACCCGAAGTCCTCTAATTATAAAAATTTGTGTAATTTTTTGAAGCTCGAAAAGGCAGAATACTAGAGGGTGGAAGAATTTACAAGAGATAAGAACCCAGATGCAATGATACATGACCAGTGTATGACATTGTTTTTGTACCATTTCACCATAAAGATGGCAGATAGGTCTGTTTCACAGATTTAGCAAATGTTAAATCAATATCATTTCCTCCAATTAGCTATCATTTTACTGCAACTAGACTAACGCATAAAACTAGGCTCTTACTCTTACTTAAGAGATTGTGCAGTAAGGAAGGCAGAGCAGGCAGAATTTTGAAATGTCACATATTGGAGATTTCCTTTCCTGTTATGTCTGTAAGAAGGCTGCAGTTTTTTTTTTTTTTTTTTTTTTTAAACCTAAGCTAATGTGAAAAATTTCTACCACATGACTTTATGTGTCAGTGGGTGGACCAATCCAATGAAGGCTCTGTCCTCTGGACCAATGCCTAGAGGTGCCACAATCCACATTAGCCTTAACCACAATTCCCAGCCCTCCTACAACTACCAGAGTCCTCCATGATCCTGACCCCCTGACACTCTCTGCGTTCTCTTCCAGTCATTGATCAGATCAACGATAGGGAATCTCTCATAGAGAGATCCAATGAAAACCCTTGTATTTCTAAATATTTCTAATACGTATGTGGCAGGGAAGCCTGCATAATGGGAAAATGAGGAAGAGGACAGGTTGTGCATAACTAAGAGCTATTTGCAATGATAAAACAACCGACGCTCGTGTGTGTGCATATACAAGTGTGCATGTGTGTCTGCTCTGTAATCCTGAGTTGTTGGTGATTTACCCATGAGATAGCTCATGTACCTAAAAATACAAGATATGAATGAGGGATGTCTAAATTAAAATAAACAAAATAAAAACACACCTAAAGTAATTACCTTTATATGAGGAAAAAATTGCTTAGCGTCCATATTATTTTTCATATAGCTGGAGTGTTGTTATCCCGAGAAGTGATGCTGAAAATGTAGATAAGCAAGGAAGCAAATAAAATCATATTTGTGCAGAGTAGGAGCATCAGGACTACAATCATTTGCCCAGAAGTTTCCCGGCTGTGAATATCTCCCAGTGCTTAATTTTCTCTCAATGGATCACAGATCTCATAGCAGCAAATTAGGCAAGAAGAGGATCTGAGATATGTCAGCCATTCCATGGTCTGTTAAAAGTCTTTGTGTTTTCCTTTTATTTCAATACTAGAGTGTTGCTGCTAGTTTCTTATCTACGGAATAACCCCAGAACCCCTAGTAATTGCTCAACAGGTATTTATCAAAAAAATTGTTTCAAGTTGTTCCCCCGTGTTCTTAGTGAATGACAGGTATTTGTGAACAACTGTTCAGGGGTACAGCCCAAGACTATGAAGACTGACATACGAAACTGATGCTAAGATACTAACACTGAGATATAAAAACTGAATCCATGATTTGCTATCATGACTAAAAAATCTCAGCCAACATGATGCCATCCAGGGGAAACACTCCGCTTTTTGCTGTTACCACTGCCAGATATGCCCAATGAGTTCCTGGCCCTGAGATCTCAAATGAGACTTCTTCGATATACCTCCTAATGTTCCCAAACCCTGATTTGAGTAAGACCCCTAACATGGAGTCGTATGTTCATATAAACTGGTATAATCACAGGAGATCAAAGGGTCCTATTTTGCAGCTGAATTTCAAAATGAGCTGGATAATTTTATGACCAGCAATAAAACTGGTAGTTATGAGAGCTAAAATATAAAAAGCTAATCAGGTCTCATGTTTCAGGACATAAACTTGTCACCGTGTACATTAACAAGATTTTTCCCCCTTAAATGGTAATGTAGTATGTTGCAGAGGATTTTCACTTTTTAGTCATCTGTGCCATATGCCTTTTTCCTGGGCAATTCAATTGAATATGCATTTATTAGGTGTCTAATGTGCACAAAGCACCATCATAGGCAAGATTTCCACTGGGTAAAGGCACTTGCAAAATAGAATCTGGCATAATGTAGTTGCAGGGGAAGATGTGTGTAACCAGAGCCTATGTCCATGGTTTTGGGGTATCAAGAGTCACAAAATTCCCAGGGGTTTGAGTTACAAAAAGGCATGTCATATTTCTTAGGACAACTATAAAAGAGATATTATGACTAACAGTTAGCTATTTTCTTTTTTTTTTTTGAGATGCAGTTTTGCTTTTCTTGACCAGGCTGGATGTGCAATGGCACGATCTTGGCTTACTGCAAACTTTGCAAACAAGAATCACTTGTTCAAGTGATTCTCCTGCCTCAGACTCCCTAGTAGCTGGGATTACAGGTGCCCACCGCCACACTAGTTTTTTGTATTTTTAGTAGAGAAGGGGTTTCACTATGTTGTTCAGGCTGGTCTCAAATGCTGTTTTCAAATATTAACACCCTTATCCAAGGTTGAGATGCGGGGCATCCATGCAACCCCTGGGGAGGGTTCTCAGTAACAATCCTAAATGTCAAGGAATTTCTAAGGGACCATTCTTCTAAGAGCAGAAGAATATTAGAAAAAGCCCAGTTTCCCTTAGCCTGGTATGAGTTTCTTATTTAGGGGAGCTTTAAACCTCAAAAAGCAAATGCATTTTGGGGGATTTTTTCAAAAATCTATAATCTCTTATAGACAAGTCCATCTCTGTGAAACCTTATATTTGGAGGAAAGTTTTTTTCCATTTCTGGCAGAGGAGCTGTGATTCTTGATGGGAGTTCATCAGACATACTAGAGAGCGGGGACAAAAGGGGATGCTAGGAGACTCAGGGCAGTGGGGAAGAGAAGAGAAATAACATATCTGCAAGGTCAAATTCGAGATGCTGAAGGGGAGCTTAGTGAGGAATATCATTGCAGGTGTCTGGTTTCAAGTTTTTCCTGCTACTTGGTGGGAGACAGGAAATTGTGGGCAATTCCATTTTCACTGTGGCGGCAAAGTCACAGGGAAGAAATCTTTGTAGACTGGGATATGAAACTAGGAAGCCTAGAGGAGTGGGATGGGGGTATTTATATAGCTAGTACAGCCTAGGTTTCTCCGATAAAGAAAAACTAATACATGGAGCAGAATAAAATAGGTGCTATATAATAGAGGAGCAAAGGATGTGGAATATCAGAAAAATAAGCAATGAAGCCTGAATGGAGGGGTAAGGGAAAGCTTTCAGAGAACATAATATTTTAACAGAAATTTAGATAATAAGTAGGAATTTTCCAGTATAAGTTGCTAGAATAAGCAACAAAAGAAAACAGGCTAGCTGTTCCTGTTGTTCAGCAAAGAGTTGATACTACAGTGAAATAGAACTATAGTTTCTTTGTTGAAAAAAATGAGACTGTAAATTTAATCTCAGGTTTGTAATTTCTTCAGTAGACAATGGTGAATCTTTAAAGAGAGGATGACGGTGACCTGAAGTATTCTTAAAGACATAATTTTGTAAGCACTGTGGAGGTTGGCATTGAGAGTGAAGAGACAAGAAACAGAATTCCCACTCCTGGAAAATTATTTCTGATCTCTGTGCTTAATTAGAGAAGGGGTTCAGCACCAGCTCTTGGTTTTGACATTCACTTATCCCAGGAAGCCTTCCTAATTCTCAGGTGTGGATTAGGACAAAATTATAATTATCAAGGTATTTGTCCCTATCTGCCTTGGACTATCCACTCCATTAAAACATTTAACATGTCTGCCTTATTCACCATTCTCTATTTTCTTTCTCATTCCTGGCCCTTGCTGGATATTTGGTCCGTATTTATTAGATAAATAAGTAAAGAGATGTGTGAATATTTTGAATAAATCAGTTGGAAAAAAAAGGCGTAAGAAAAATGCCTATAAGAATGAAAACACCAGAAACGTGGAAAATAGTATCCAAAGGATTGGAGATATGTAAGATGTGGAAAGGGAGGGATTAATTTAAAGATGCCTCCCATGTGTCTATCCTGGGTTTTGAGATAGGATAGTAGGATAGTGATGCTACCTGAATTATCCAGTTAGAGTTTGGTTACCTTTCATATAGTATCTCCTCCCTCTACAAACAGGGTTCTGGTTGAACTGTTTGAAGAGTCCTTATTTGTTACAGGAATGTGACCATAGTCTACCCATATAAATACCCTCCAGGCCAATTCCTGAGATGGGAAGGTATGAATAAGATCCTGGTGCCAACTGAACAGGGTCTGATACTCTTCTTGAAAGTGATTCCTTACTGATATGTTTTGGCTCTGTGTTGCCACCCAAATCTCATATTGAACTGTAATCCCCACATGTTGAGGGAGGTCCTGGTGGGAGGTGATTGGATCATAAGGGTTGTTTTCCCCATGCTGTTCTCATGATAGTGAGTGAGTTCTCATGAGATCTGATGGTTTTATAAGTGGCAGTTTCCCTGCGCTCTCTCCCTCTCCTGCTGCCTTGTGAAGAAGGTACCAGCTTCCCCTTTGCCTTCCACCATGATTGTACATTTCCTGAGGCCTTCCCACCCATGTGGAACTGTGAGTCAATTAAACCTCTTTTGTTTATAAATTACCCAGTCTCAGGTAGTGTGAAAATGGACTAATACGCTTACCATCAAGCAATTCTGATGGAAAATGCAGACAGAATTTGGGACATTTAGATTGGATTGTGTAGACAAGTGGCTGCCCAGAAAAAGTGTCAGTGGACCCTTTCCATGTATTCAAAAAACATACGTGAGAAAGATGGAATTTTTTATTGAATAATTTTCTAGGATAAAATGGTTCAGGTCTATGAAGTTTATAATATTAGCACTATAGTAATAAAATAAGCCACATAGATTTTCATTCCACAGAATGAGAGTGGCTATACTATACTCAGTTCAATATAATTAATTAGGTGCCTTGGCTGGAAGTTAAATCTTTCATATAAAGGTATCCATTTTAAAGCAGATGCATTAAATGAATCACTATATAATGAAATATGTGTTAATATGTTTATTATAATCAAAACCCATTGTTTCTAGAAAGAAGAAAAATAAAATTCTAAGTCTTGTTTTTTTAAAAAGTTAATTTTCATTGAAAAAACATCTGCTTAATTCAGTAGCCAAATATCAGAATCAAAAAAATAAAATTCTCAGAGCTGTGATTCAAAACTTGAAATAATTAAATTCTTAATTTAGAATGGAATTATAACTGATCATATTTTTCCACACATTTATCTAACAGAATTTTGTATTTGGATGATTTCATCTTGTGTATCCAACCACTTGGCAATTTAGCCATTGAATATGCACCTGCTTCTCAGATTGGCAAGGCAACAATTTACTGTGAAGAATCAGTTGTTTTGAATGGCTAATTGGTTACAGGTGCAATGAATTAACCATCTGCCTTAGAGATCGACTAAACTAAGAGGGAAGGAAAATCCCTTTCCTTTCTGTCACTTTGGGAGCTCATCAATACTAGATTCTAGTGAGATGTGATTCTGACTTGGAATTTGTCTATCCCCTGGTGGGTAGAGTGAGGTGAGCGAAAGGAGAAGAAATTTTGTTCAGTGGTTAATCAGAAGAATATTATAGAGTTATGATTAAGATGCTGGTTTATTAATTTTTAGCAATAATCTAGCTATTAAATTAGACAAACATTTCAAAGTAAAAAAAAAAATTGGAAGATATCTAAAAGAGCACAGAAACCCCACAGGTAGGTTTACACGAGCACATTTGATGTAGTCTTGGTTTAGGTTCAGGTTTTCTAGCATTTCTTTCCTGAATTAAATCTAATTTTTAAAATTTTCTGAAGAATTATGGCATTAATCTATTAATGTGTCACAATACTGAAAATCAAACCTCCTTTTTTCCTTTTAAAGGCTAGTCAAATAAAGCAGTGGGAGTGGAAAAGGATCAAAGAAATCTGTAACCGGTTATGATCAATTAGTTGTAAACACCACTGCACGAGGACCAGCCCAAAGCTGCTACTTAACCAAGTGACTTTCTGATTGCTCAACTGTGGTGAGTCAAAACATTCCTAAATGGGCAAAAGCCATTTTTTTTTTTTTCTGGATTGTTGCAATCTCCTGGCTCCAAGAGGCTAAAGTGAAGCTCTTGTTAACTAGGAGATGCAATCTGGATTGGATGACCAGGTGGAAAATGATGTTAGGTTAATTTAGTCTGAATACACTTCTTTGTCTTTAGGTCAACACTTCATTTTTCTCTCCCATATGTAACTGAACCTACATTTTATATGTTGTTTAGTTTATGAAGCCAAACTTTTAATGAACCTTAAATATTTAAGAGCTCCAGCTGACTTAACATGTTTTCATATTCTAAGCAATATATTCTCACCTGTAGTAAAAGTCACCTGTCTGATTCACAGACTCCTGTAATGTGTTCTGATTAGAGCTTTTTCTATAAGCGCCTCTGCCTGCACACATTTATCTTAAATAATTGGCAAAATGAAAATTATTTTTTCTCACGAAGTGGAGTGGAACCTGTCAAAGGGCAGGCACTCAGAAACACAATTTCCCATCCAGTTGGTATTGTGAAATACCCTGAAGTTCAGTTGAGTTAGTTAAATCAATATTTTTGCCCTGTTTAATTATTTTTTAGCAAAACACAATTATTTGTGCCTATGTGGTTGCCTTGTTAAAACCACATGAACTGATGCCATCATTGATAACAATAAACTAGCCAAGTTGGAAGGACTCCTCTCTGCGTCATTTTAGATATTGAAAATATGTGAGAATGAATAAATATTTGGGGCATAATTTCTTTCTTTTTTTTTTTTTTGAGACGGAGTCTTGCTCTATCGCCCAGGCTGAAGTGCAGTGGCACTATCTCAGCTCACTGCAACCTCCGCCTCCCGGGTTCAAGCAATTCTCTGCCTCAGCCTCCCTAGTAGCTGGGATTACAGGTGCCTGCCACCACGCCCAGCTAATTTTTGTATTTAGTAGTATTTTAGTATTCACTATCTTTGCCAGGCTGGTCTTGAACTCCTCCTGACCTCGTGATTTACCCGCCTCAGCCTCCCAAAATGCTGGGATTACAGGCTGGGGCATAATTTCTTAACGCCTAAAATGTACTTCATTTATTTTATGAAATATCCTACAATAAAAACAAAATTCTTTGTGAGAATCCTATTTTCAAGATTCCAGTTAAGGATTAGATTGTGGAGTTTTAAAAAATAATTTCCTACTAAATAGTTGGAATTTGACTACATGAAGTACAGTGTCATTCCAGTTTTCTGGACCTAGTTGAATTTTCATAAAATGTCTTTCAATAGAATGTCATTTCAATTTCTTATTCACATTTAGAAAACGAATTACACTTATGGATTTTAGATTCTCTTCGAATATATATAAAATTTTTTGCAATGAAAGTCTTTGTACAACAAAATATTTCTGATAAAAGCTCATTCATTTCAAACATCATTCAATAAAACAGTATTCCATCAGATCAAAACATTTAGGTCTAGCATTTCTTATGATCATTGTAAACAGTCATGGTTGCATAAATCTAAAATATTGCTTTAGAAATAATTTGAGGCCTTAATTCACACTACAGAAATAATGTTTTCTCACTTTAATATATACGTTTCTGTTTGTATCCCATCCCATGCAAAAGGTGCAGATAGCAACATTGTTTCCTACTTGTTCTTGAATGCATACAAATATTCATATTGATTTTCTCCAAACAAAATGGAGGTCCTTCATAGTTTATCTCCACTATATTCCCTCCTTTTGTTCCTCTTTTAGTGATGCTTATTCTTCAGTGTTAATTGTTGTTGATGAAAATCCTCGTGTTACAGAAGTAGTGTCTATAAAGATTACTAATGGTAGAGTTGAGAATTATATATTTTATATCAATATATATTTATTAAAAATATAAATATATAATTCATATTAAGTGAATTCATATAAATATACTAGAATATTTATATAAGTATATTGATATAAAATATACAATTCACATTAAATGAATTCACAGAAATATATATTCAATGTGAATTTTATATTTTACATCATATATATTTACATGACATCTAAGCTATCATCAGATTTGGAAGTTATTTTAGAAATCCTCATCCAGACTACAATTGTTTTAAATATTTTATAGCAGGAGGACTCCTTCAAACGGAAATGTAAGGTACAATAAAAAAATGCACCACTGCGCCAGTTGATGCTGGGATAAACTTCCCAAATTCATATTTTGTGGCTTCTCTTTTGTGTTCTGAGAAATCTTAACATTATGAGTAAAAGGGTACGGGAACTACTGTTCTTTTCCAAGGACATATTTTCCCTGCTAGGAGACTGAGGCATAGAGAAATTATTTGGCTTATATAAGGGGAGCCAGTGAGTTAGAATCAGAAGGAAAACTAAGCTCTCTTGAACTCTAATCTATTTTTTTCACTGTTAAAATATAAATTTAAACATCTGAATTATCCAAATGGCTTATCTGTATTGATTAAAATGCCCTGGATCACTTATTACTTCATTTGATCTAGCTTGTATAGATGAAGATGCTGTGTCAACCCCTTTCTACACGCCCACCTGTCTGAGCTCAGGATAACCTTAAATCCCAGTACCTAGGACTTTCAATCTCTTAGACAGTTGATTATGCCAAATGTTTAGCACAGAGCCACTAGTTGGCTCCAGGCTATTGATGATTTCATTAAATCTTTCCCAATCTATTTATTTACACAGTTTCCACTGAGAAAAATGCATTGAAATGAAACATCTCATTTCCAGTACTGTCCTGAGGCAAAAAGAGACAATGATACGTATCTCCAATTTAGACTGGATGAAACTAGCCACATTTCAAATAAAGAAGTCACATTGTAAGTGTAAAACGACGTTAACCTTAAAGGAGACATTTCCGCCCTGTATAACTATGCACAGCTTCAACTAATGGTATATGAACTGTGTCTACAAACCAAAGGACATTTTTCTAAAGAAACTTTAAATATAGAAAATTAACTCAAACCTTACCTTAGAGCTTCCTCCTCTATTGTCTTTTCCTGTAGTGGTAGTCTCTGTGGCACTTACAGGTGGTAAACAAATAAAAAAGTGTCTTATTGAATTAACTTGATTGCCATATTGATCAGTTTTATGTGTTTTTATTCTTAAGCATAACAATAAAAGAAAATGATTAAGCAATGTTTTGCTTAAAAAAAAAAGATTTCATGGCAGAGAAGCAATTGAGTCCAGTTAAGAGACAGTTAAGAACATTTTTCAGTTTGGAGCTTTTGTTTTGTGATGAGAACTTTGCCAGTTAGTCACAAATGAACTTGAGCACATTTTCTTGAGCGTGATGGCTGAACAGATGAGCCACACACACTTTATAGTGAGTTTTACTGCACTGAGTCTTTACCTACTATTCCTAGTAGTTACACATATTAAATTATTAATAACTGATCAACATTTTAAAAGAAGGTTTCAAAAGAAATGTAATTAGATTTTATAGTTGAGTTTTAGCTAATGTGTGATTCCACAAAAGTTCAGGTGCCGAGATTACATTTCAATTTATACTTGCCATCTGCTAGAATATTCCCCTCTGTCTACAGCATCCTGACCAGATCTCCAAATTTTGAAATCTGTTTTCATTATTCAAGACTCATTGTACATTTCAAATACCAGGTTGATTTCTTAGTCTCCATGTTCTCCATGTCTGCTTATGACTTTACAGAAAAAATGTTATTTACTATGCATATTAATATTGAGATTCTTTACTATGCTGTATCTTTTTTTTTTTTTTTTTTTTTTTGAGATGGAGTCTCACTATGTTGCCCAGGCTGGAGTGCAGTGGCGCCATCTCGGCTCACTGCAAGCTTCGCCTCCTGGGTTCATGCCATTCTCCTACCTCAGCCTCCTGAGTAGCTGGGATTCTAATCTCCGCCACCACGCCTGGCCAATTTTTTGTATTTTTAGTAGAGACAGGGTTTCACTTTGTTAGCCAGGATGGGAGCTCGTAATCCGCCCACCTCGGCCTCCCAAAGCTGGGATTACAGGCGTGAGCCACTGTGCCTGGCCTACTATGCTGTATTCTTATAGTTAACAGCATGCTCTTTGATAATATCTCATTGGAAATATTTATGCTCTGAAACATTATTTTTTGAATTGTTAAATATAAATCATTTATACAGCAATACTTTATGGGAGAAGCATATGCTGAATTTTAATGGTGTTTACTTTGCAATCCAAAATTGTGAATACATACATGTAAAACTATGAAATTGCTAATTAAATATTTCCATCTATCATAAGATGGGTATGTAAGACTGTGTCTCCTGTCTTTTTTTTCTATTTATGTATCCATATATCTAAAAATTATTTAACTATAAGGTAAATGATGTTATCAAATCCTTGCATAGTATCCATGTATACAGTACAAAGACTGAGGTTAGGGAGTATCTGTTCCAGTTACCAGATGGCTTCAGTAGGAATCAGAATGAGAATCAACCAGGAAGCAGCTTAATTCCACCATAGACTCAAGAATCAGATTTTCTAGGAATGAGTAATGACCTTTTGCATTTTGAATTAACTGTCCAGGTGACTCTGACAGTGATGTTGATCTAGAGAGATTTTCTACAAGAAAAGACATGTCCACATTTTTCCTCTTTGAAAATCATTTCTGGTTATGGATTTTTAACATAAACTTCTAAGGTTTGAATGAAGATAACTGAATTGACTTTGTTTCTCTCTGCTTGCTTACTTTTTGGGATAGGTCATTAATAACATTGGCAGCATTTCCTACAGAAGGACCATCTCACACCCCTCCAGTAAATGGCTTAATGCCAAGCTGTGTTTTTGCTATAAAGCATGTAAGATTTCAGTATAATGCTAGCCTTTGAGATGACTCATGTGACATTTTGATTTTTTGAATTTAGATTCCATATAAAAGTGCTGTATTTCAATATTTCTCTATTTTAATGTATATTTTTCTTAATTTTGTAAAATATACAGTATATCATAGAATTATAAGATAAAAATGGATTTAAGGGGTAAAAATCTTGCTTATTATACGTGCACTCTCAATATTAATAGCAGTTTACCTAAAATATGAAAATGTTAGAAATCTAGGAAATCAACCAAACAAACCTTGAGAATTTCTTCTGATTTTAAGAGACTATATGTATATATAATCCATATTCTTATGTGCCTTTTTTCCCTCTAGCATTTCTTTTCTCCTTTGTTGTGAGAAGAAAATAAAGAAAATGTTTCCCTTGAATGCTCTTCCTGATACAACTCATTTTTTTCCCCTGTACTTTGTATCATGAAACTCAGTGCCTTCCAGAATATTGGCTTCATAGCTAGTTCTTCCATAGGGAGATTCTGAATCTTCAAAATGTGTAGATGTGAGGAAAGGTCATTACCTTCATGATGTTCCCATCATATGGCTCACTATGGAAAATTTCAAGAATAATTTCCACTTCCTGATGTTACTCGCATGCTCTGTTGCTACAAAAGAACAGATAGCACTAAAGATATCTATCAAATGGCAACATTGATATTATTCGGTTAGTGCAAAAGTAATTGCAATTTTTGCCATTAAAAATCATGGTGAAAACCATGATTACTTTTGCACCACTGTAATACTAAAGACCAAAGTCTTCTTTAAATTAATGCCATCGCATAACGTAACAAATACAGAATCTAAATTCAGAACATTAGTTTTCCTATCCTTAATGTCAGTTAGGAATTGTGTGGATTTTAGTCTCAGTTTCTTTCTTACAGAGAAAAATTTTGGCTAAGAGTATAGACTCCATTAGCAGAATAAATTTAAATCCTGGGCTTGTCACTTGGTAGTTCTGTGACTTTGGAAACATAACTTTTTTGTTCCTCTCTTTCTCTGTGTATAAAATGAATTCCTCCCTCATAGAGATGTCATGAGAAATATAGTATTTAATATGAGTAAAAATTCTACAACAGTGCTTGATATAGTATGCATTAAAAAAGTTATCAGTATTCAGTTTATCCTAAAATGTAGAACTTTATAATTTACTCCTTGGCAAATGAATATAGCAAAGAAAATGGCCGGGGTAGCAGAGACAGCTTTGGCACCCAGACCCAAGCCTGGAAAAGTCTAGATACATAAGTCTGCCTGGCTGCCTGGCTGCTCTGTTGATGTATTGAAGAGAAGAAGTGCTTGCATTAATAAAAGTCTGCTTTCCCAAAGATTTTTAATGGCAATGGCCACATGAACATGCCCATCATGTGGTCTTAGAGGAACCTAGCCCAAAGACAGTGACTTAGTGGGAAGGTGGGCTCAACAGTTTGTCTGGAGTAGACTGCTCAAAAACAGAGTGGTGAGAGAATATTTACAAGACTAGTTGGAGGGTACATTGCCTGAATAAAGAAAAATGGACCTCATTTCAAGGCAGTTTAAAAAATAATCAATTTTGAATATTTTCTAAAGCTAGCCATAAATACCTGCCAAGCTGAAAGACAAGAGTCAGAGTACATTAATGATGGTCAAGTGTCACCTCTCCTGACCTTTACAACTCCTTCCTTCTCCTCTCTTCTTTTCTCACCCCCGGCCCCAAGCACCCAGCAGCAGCTTAATTAGTGGAGTGGCATCGTAGAAGAGAGAGTCAAGGAAACGGAGAAGCCACCCACATCCCTCTTGTGCCACAGAAGCATTTTCAAGGCTAAAGTAGGTCAGAACTGGAAGTTTTTCATCATACATAGAATGACATTTTAATGATTGAAATGGCACTTTTTGTTTTTTACAACTAAAGTGATTGGAGCACTTCACTTCCTTTTACAGCATAACCAAGAATTTTCAGTATCTGTTCACTTACTCTCTTTTTAGAGTTCTAGATCAGCCAAGCTTTTATTTTATTTTATTTTTTTAGGTGATGTCTTGCTCTGCTGCCAGGCTGGAGTGCAGTGGTGCGATCTCAGCTCACCTCAACCTCCACCTCCTGGGTTCAAGCAATTCTCCTGCCTCAGCCTCCCCAGTAGGTAGGTCTACAGGCACATGCCACCACGCCCAGCTAATTTTTGTATTTTTGGTAGAGACAGGGTTTCACCATGTTGGCCAGGATGGTCTTGATTTCTAGACCTTGTGATCCGCCCGCCTTGGCCTCCCAAAGTGCTGGGATTACAGGCATGCACCACTGTGCCTGGCCAGCAGCCAAGCTTTTACCCACATCATGCTACAAAATTGCTCTTACCAAGGTCACAAATGACTTCCAAACATTCACAGATCTGGTGGTCTCATCTTGGTATCTTATTTTATCCAAAGCCAGCATATGATACACCACATTCCTCCTTGAATTCTTTCTTCACTGGACTCTCAGAACACAATCTCTTTTGGTTTTCTTCCTACAGCATTAGCTATTTCTTCCTAATCTCTGTAGTTTTCCCAAATTCCTTATCTCTAAGTTCTGAAGTGCTTCAGGGTTTGAGTCTTACACTTGTCTTCTCTAACTGTACTCACTTCTTAAGAGTTTATCCAGTCCCAATACTTTAAATTTAATTTATAACTACTATTGACACCTAGACTCTCCTAGACCACTCCTCTGGACTCCACCTGGATGTTTATACTCTGTATTCAGCTTATTCACTTGGATGATCATTGCTTCTTAAACTTTACATGACCAGAACTGAACTCTTGATTGTGATCTACTCACTAAACCTGTTTCTTTCTTGGTCTTCTTCCATCTCAGACTATAGTAACAGCAATTCTTCAGGAGTTCAGGTCAGGATAGCCTAAAGGTCATTCTTGATGTTTTTCTCTGACATCTCACATCAAGTTTATTAGGAAATCATGCAGGCTTTACCTGCAAGTAATATCAAGAATCTATATCTCAGCATAGACCCCATTGATGTGCTCATCTAAGTCACAATTATTTCTCCCCTGCATTAATTTAAAAGACTCCTAATTGTCCTCTCCTTATTTAAATTCTTATCTCCTACTGTCTACTTTTCAACACAGTAGCCAGGATGATCCTTTTAAAATACATCATATCATGTCAGCCCTTTACTCAAAATCCTACAAATGCTTCCCTCTTCTTTCACAGTAATGTCCAAAATTTTTAACATAACCTTTAAAGCCCTCCATGATCCTGATGCTGTTTTGACATCATTTTTCTCCACTCAAGCAGCTCCAGCTTCCCTGACCTCCTCTGTAACACACCACACCTGTTCCAGGAGACTTGCACTTGCAGATCCCTCTGTCCTGAAAGTTTTTCACCCACTCACATATTCTCAGGGTTCCTCACTAACTCACTCCTTCAAGTCCCAGACATCACTTTTCAAAGACATCTTCCTAGACCAGTCCATTTAAAATAGATCTATATACGGCCGGGTGTGGTGGCTTATGCCTGTAATCCCAGCACTTTGGGATGCCGAGGCAGGTGGATCACGAGGTCAGGAGATCGAGACCATTCTGGCTAACACAGTGAAACCCTCTCTCCACTAAAAATACAAAAACTTAGCTGGGCATGATGGCGGGTGCCTGTAGTCCCAGCTACTTGGGAGGCTGAGGCAGGAGAATGGCGTGAACACAGGAGGCAGAAGTTGCAGTGAGCCGAGATGGCGCCACTGCACTCCAGCCTGGGCAACAGAGCAAGACTCCATCTCAAAAAAAAAAAAATAGATCTATATACAACTCATTTTTTATCTTCACTACTGTAGAGCACCTGTTACCACCTTACCTATTATAAAGCATTTTTGTTATTATTTGTTTGTACTTCATGCTTTGTTTCCTGATGTGTCACCTACACCTGGCAGATAAAAGGTGCTCAAGAGATATTAAAATGAATGAACTAATGAGAGTAATTGGAACAATCATGGGATCTGTCAGAGAGATCATCCAAGAGGAAAGGAAGAACAGGCTCCACAAAGTTAGTTTGAAAGGGCACTAAGTAGAAGTGGGAAAAAATAAAGTTCTGTCCTGCAATATTCTTTGTACTCTAGCTCTTTCAGCTTAATGGATACGTATATATTAAATAGCTATTTAAAATCAGAATATTGCAAATTGCAATTAGTTTGATAGTTAAGATGCATGTATTTGCCTTTACCTTTTTTCTTTTCTTTTCTTTTTTTTTGTTAGAGAGAGTCTCACTCTGTCGCCAGGCTGGAGTGCAGTGGTGCGATCTCGGCTCACTGCAACCTCTGCCTCATGGGTTCAAGTGATTCTCCTGCCTCAGCCTCCCTAGTAGCTGGGACTACAGGTGTGTGCCACCACGCCCAGCTAATTTTTGTATTTTTAGTAGAGATGAGGTTTCAGCACGTTGGTCAGGATGGTCTTAATCTCTTGATCTCCTGATCGCCCACCACAGCATCCCAAAGTGCTGGAATTACAAGTGTGAGCCACCACGCCCGGCCCAGCTTTTACTCTTAAATAGAATAAATATTGACTTTATCTGTACTATTTGTTCCTCTATTTGTACTCTCTGAATGTTTTGTGTTTTCCTTTATTAGTAGTTGGATATTATTGTAATTATATGTTGACATGTCTCCTGTGGCAGACTGCCACGGTTACTACTTGAGACTGTCACTACCACAGTTACTACTGTTACTACTTGAGACCGCCGTTACGAGACTGAAGGAAGAGAGACGAACGCAGAAATAAAACCTTAAGACAATAGAAACTTTTAAATAAAGGGTCCAGGGAAGGAGAAGAGGGCTCCCTGATTCTAGTGAGCAAAGGCAGCAGCCCTGAGCTTCTACATCCCTTCCTATTTATTGGGTAGAAAGAGCAGGGAACAGGAAGTAACGATTGGTCAGCTGCTTAATTGACCACAGGTTCATATTATTGCTAACAGGCTTCAGCTGTGCCTAATCACAAGAAACACTTGTGCCTGGTTTGTGACTGCCCTCAGCATCCCTTCTGGGCAGCAGACGCAGTTTGTCAACATTCTGCTTTTATGAGAACAGTTTGCTGTTTACTCATATAGCCTCCAGTGATATACTGAGTTGATCACGACCCTCACTCTTTTGGCCTGCAACAGTCTCCTCCAGGTTTGTTTGTGTTTTTTTGTTTTGTTTTTTTATCTTAAATAATCTCAGCACCTAACTCAGTACGTGACATATAATAGGTACTAAAAAATGTTTATCAAATTTGTTTTTAATATTTGATTCAGTAATTCCTTTATAATTATATTATAATATTTATAATACATAATAATTTATAATTATAATATATTTATAAATATATACACTACAGTGGTGTTCACAGGATATGTGGGCCAGGGATTTTATGTCCAAGCAAGTTGTTCTTCAAATGTAAAGTCTACAAATATAGAATTTCAATGCAAAATTCTGGGAATATTGTTTTCATAAGCTCTCTGTGAGAAAAGTTCTAGAGTGCCCTAGTGAATCAAGGATATTTTAGCAAAAACAAAACAAACAAAAACACACACACACACACACAAAACTAGTAGTAAGCATTGAATACATTTAATTGCAAATCTAAGCAAAAAAAAGTGAAGCTAAAAGATTAAAAAATGGAATGTAAGTTTTAAGTGCTCTGAGATGTAGAAATGATATAAATACTAATAGTAATTGAGGAAAAGGGAGAACATACATTCAAAGTAGAATAAACTCACTGATTACCTACCAGTAAGGATTGGGTTAAAGAATGTCACTTAAACAAAGTGGTGTAAGTTTTAGCACATTTAAGAGAACAAAGGTAATCATCCAGTAAGAAAGACAATTATATGACAAAGGAGATGAGAGAATGGAAGGAAAGAGGATTGGAGCTAACTGTATTGTTCTCCATAAGAAATAGCAAAGAGATGTCATCTAAAGCAAGAAAGTCTAAGGGTGTTGTATCCAAGTATAAGTATAAAGTTAACCACTAAAAAAATGCAAAACTTTCAAAATTTCAGTGGAACTGCAAAAGGAGACAAACAGGCCATACAGATACGCACACACATGCACACACACACATATATATACATATATGCATACAAACATGTATAAGTTATATATGTAACTTCACATATACATATTCACATAAATATATAGATATGCATAAATGTTATATTTTGCATGCTCTCTGTTATATAACAAAATCTGAAAGACTGCCATATATCTTTTTCAATAAATACAAGTGGACTTAACTATTAAAAGATTGTTAATGTGGGTTAAAAAGCAAAATCAACTTTCTGCTTTAGAAGTGATATCCCTAAAGCAAATAGTTTCAGAATGGTTAAACATAAA
The DNA here is from genome assembly GCF_000001405.40 of Homo sapiens. Taxonomy (NCBI): domain Eukaryota; kingdom Metazoa; phylum Chordata; class Mammalia; order Primates; family Hominidae; genus Homo; species Homo sapiens. The sequence goes on along the minus strand of NC_000003.12, from coordinate 106,677,473 downwards.
TAGAAGATGATGGCCCAGGTATGTCAGGCAAATACAAACTAAATAAAATAATGGATAGTGATCTCAATCTCAATGTAGAGAGCAAATAAGAATACATATTTATATTTGTTTGTGTTTATACAAAGAAAGCCTGGGATTTTATAATAGAAACTAATAAAATAGTTTACCTTGGGGGATGGTAGTTGTGACGCTTAATTTTGTGTGTTTTACTAGTTATTTGGGTATCCCTTACGGATGCCCATGTAACTGATAAAACCTCATTTTGGGGTTTGTCTGTGAAATGTTTCCAATAAAGTTTAGCATTTGAATCAGTAGACTGAGTAAAGATGGCCTTCATCATTGTGAATGAGCATCACCCATAATCTGTTGAGAGCCCATGTAGAATAAAAAGGTAGAAGAAGGACAAATTTACTCTTCCTGCTTGAATCAAAACATCCATGTTCTTTTGCCCTTAGACACATTGGTTATTTTGGTTCTCAGGCAGTCAGACTCTGATGGAATTATACCACTTGCTTTCTTGGTTCTTCAGATTGCGGAACACAAATTGTTGGACTTCTCAACTTCCATAATCACACAAGCCAATTCTCATAACAAATCTCATACACACACACACACACACACACACACACACACACACACACATCTATGCTATTCTGTTTTACTAGAGAAATACAATATAATGGTGATGGGGAAACAATAAATGCTCCCTGATGTGAGAACAAGATTTCTTAGAAGTATACATTTTTGTGTAGTTTTTTTGTTTTGTTTTTTTTTTTGAGATCGAGTCTCGCTCTGTCACCAGGCTGGAGTGCAGTGGTGCGATATCGGCTCACTGCAACCTCCACAAGTGAGGTTCAAGCTATTCTCCTGCCTCAGCCTCCTGAGTAGCTGGGACTACAGGAATGCGCCACATGCCCAGCTATTTTTTTTTGTATTTTTAGTAGAGACGGGGTTTCACCATGTTAGCCAGGATGGTCTCAATCTCCTGACCTCGTGATCCACCCGCCTCAGCCCCCCAAGGCGCTGGGATTGCAGGCGTGGGCCACTGTGCCCAGCCATTTTTGTGTCGTTTTTAGTTTTGAAACATAAATATCATTTCAAAAAATAAAATGCACACAAAACAGTTGTAATCAACTCAGAAATTTCTTATTAAAGTGGCTCAAATTTTAGTCCATCATGTTAAAATCATGAAGATTAAGAAATATTGATTCTCGAAGTATATATCTTTAATAGTCTACGTTCTGTTAACATATTTGGGCAGCAACCTGGCCAAGACAGAGTAAGGAAACGTATAATAATGTGCTGTACGAATAGTAGTCAGTCTTTAAATTTTGCAAGGTACTTTCACATATATCCTCTCATTATGTTATATATTTATTTGTTTTTTTGAATAAATAAAAAATAATAAAGTAGACTTTCTTTCTTTTTAGTAAAAAAAAAAAATGGAGTCTTAGAAAAGTAAAGGAAGTTTCTTCCCAATGTGGAAGTGGCAGAGGAGATAGGAAATAGGAAAATACAATTCATTTTGGTTTCTAATTCAGGAATTTTTACCATAGTTTGCAGTTAATTTGAAAATATGAACCTTGGGTCACTCATTCTTATGATCAGGAATTCTACAATAAGTCATTTTCTTGAGAGAAAAGATTGTAGTATAGTTAACTGCAGTCCAGAATTAGGTTGAATAACACCCCAGTGTGCCTATGAGCAAATAATAATGAAAGAATAGGAGTTTCCATATGGGACGGGTTAGATTTGAACCAACAGTATGCACACGAGTCAGGTCAATAATAGGTTCACCAGCTGTAACAACCATCAGGCACTTAATCAAGTCTGAGTATTTTCCCTGCTGATTTTCTTCAGTTGTAAAAGACTTCCAGATGAAGTTCCAAATAAACCATGACTGGTGCATTTCCATTGCTAGCTTTCCCAGAAAGTATGTGGGGAAGATCATCACTTTAGTGACAGGAAATCATAAAATCATATAATTAAGATTTTTATACTCAATGCTTGTTCCTTTCCTTGAATGTACAAATGACTACTTTTATATTTTCAAGATATGTGTTAAAATCACTAGATACATTTTACAATTTTAGTTATTCATACTAAAATAATATACATATATCTTTTACTTAGGTTTTAATATTTTAACACGTTAAATTTCTCTTGTTTTTCTCTCCTTAAATACCTTATCAATCATTTTCATTTCTTCATCTAACCACTGGAGAAATAAAAAAAAAATCATTCAAGTTCTTTTGGCTGTTATTTAAATTAATGCCATTCATCCTTAATCAGTATTGGATATAATTATAGGAATTCAACAAGAACAAATACTATCAAGAGCTCAACAAAATCAATATACTCTCAGGAACTTGGACCTAAACACTGAATTTATTTGCAGCATACATCTATGGATAAACAAAATAAAGACTCTACCTTTACCTTTATGAAGCTTTCAATATTTTAGAAGGAAAAAAAGACAGAGTATGTTGTTGCTGGTGGAGGGTCTTGACTGCAAGTTGTCCAGGTTCTTGATGTTTTGAACAAAGAATTGGATAAAATATACAGCAAAGCAAGGAAAGAACGAAACAATCAAAGCAGAGATTTATTGAAAATGAAAGTACACTCTGAAGGGTGGGAGCTGGCAGGAGCAGCCACTCAAGGGCCCTGGTTACAGATCTTCTGGGATCCAAATACCCTCTAGAGGTTTTCCATTGGCCACTTGTTGTACACCCAATGCAAATGAAGTAATGGCCTGCAATCAGTCTGATTGGTTGCTTTCCACAACCAAATCAATTCAACCAGTCAATCCTTGCTTTTACTTGCTTTATATTAAGTCTTGTGTTAGATGGGGCATATGTTGTATCTACCTACATTCCATTAGTTAAAGGAAATCACATGAGCAAGCATAACACTGGGTGGGGAAGTACAGTTTGGCTACTCTAGTGTAATACGACAAAATCATGCACAAGGGATGTGTATGTATAGTTTTAAAACAGATAGTGAGTGAAGAATATAAACCAATTATTGCAACAAATTGGATACATATTTTATAGATAATACTGAATTAGATATGAGGAATGAGAGTGAGTCATATAAATGGTGATTCCACATTTTGGCATAAACAACTGAGTAGATGCAAGAGCAAATTACTGGTAGAAGGAGACTGCAGTAAAAGCAAGTTAGGGATGAGAAAAAGATGACTATTTCAGGTTTGGATATGTCAAAAAATAGACAAATGATACAGAACTAGGTAACTGAGTACTTAAGTTTTGAGAGAAAAATGATTAGGACTAGATTCATGGTTTTGGGGTGTCTCAATGACGTCTAAAAGGATGATATCACCTCAGAACACAATCCAGAGCAAGAAGAGAGCCAAGGCCTGAATTCCAAGAGACTGAAGCAGTAAGAGGCTGCAAAGAAGTTTCTGGAAAAGGCAACTGATAGGGTAAAGCCAGTGAAGTGAGAAAAAGAAGGAAAAAAAGGAGCCAAGGAAAAAGAGATTTTCAAGATGGAGGTAATAATTGGTAGTATTGAATTTTACTAAAATATCTGATGAGGACTGAAGAAGAGTGTATGTTGAGTTTAGCAACATAAAAGTTATTTCTGATTTCAGCAAAAGCATTTTCTTGTAACTGCTGGTGAAACTGGTGAAAGAAAAGCAAGATTGGTGTAGGTTGAAGAGTAAATTTTCTCCTGCAGTGTTCATTGGCTTAAGGAAGGTAGAAAGAAGAAAGATAATTGAAGGGTCATCCAGAGTTGGCATTTTACTCAGATCAGTGAAGTAGAAGAAAGTGGCAAGGAAATTGAAGTTATTTTCAAGGCCAATTTTATAATGATGAACTTTGTTATCCAAGCTAAATAAGGAAAGTTAAAAAATGAAAAGAATGATGGCCAATAAAACGTGCTAGAGTTATTGAATTGGAAGATGAACCATGGTAATGGTGATAATGGAGTAAGTGAGCTTGAAGGATAAGAAATGGTAATCAGAATACAGATTTTATGTGATTTGTGATTTCAGAGGTGGTAAAGATTCTAGTATTAACAGTAGATAGCTGAGATAGAGCAAAAAAATATTTTTGAAAGAGATGGGTCAAGAATCTCCCCTTCCCTTTTCCCTGTTGCTAGTTTTATGTGAATGAGGGAGAGCAGAATTGTAGAAATCTACAATAAGAAAAATGAAAATAAAAACTTGCACCCCATCCCTGCCCCCTTAGGTATGTGCCATGTGAGAGAGTAAATGCCTAATAAAGAGAGACTTCAGGGGAAGATATGTGCTCAGGAGGCAGGAACTCAAGCAGGAGGCTTAAAGGGTCAGGAAACGATTTCAGAGGACTCAGATTTTTGATCAGCTGAAAAGATGTATGGAGCAATATGAAAATACTTTGACAAACAAATGACCAGAGACACTTACAGATTCAGTTTTAACCAACTTAAACAGAGATGTAAGATATCATTGTTTTATTTATGTTTTCCACTTTTAAAATACATATTGTAAAAATAGCATATTTCAAGGTACGTAGAAAATAATAATCATGATTTTCATGTTATTAATACACTTTATTTTCACATGCATATTTCCTTCCTTATTAGATTTTTGTAATAAGTCAAATAATACAGAGATGTATAATGGGAAATTTAATAATCATTCCTTATGCCTCTTAATCCTAACACTTTATGATAACTAATGCTGACCATTTGAATATTATTCTATTATTTCTTTATGCCTATATATGTATGCTTATCTATATGGTTATTTATATTGTTGATGCTTTCTTTTCCATGTGAACTTGCTTTATTCGCTTCATTTCTCAAAACATCATTCTAAGTCTAAAATGTTGATCCATCTTTTTGTTTGTGATAGCTGCATAATGATAATGTAATTTGTGCAAAAAATAATTCAACCAGTACACTGCTGAAAAAGAAAGTGGTGAAAGTGGGCATCCTTGTCTAGTTCCAGATCTTAGAGAAAAAGCTTTTAACTTTTCCCCATTCAGTATAATGTTAGCTGTGGATTTGTCATATATGGCTTTTATTATGTTGAGGTGCATTTCTTGTACACGTAATTTGTTGAGGATTTTAATCATAAAGGGGTGTTAAATTATCAAATGTTTTTCCTATGTCTATTGAATTGATTATATGGTTTTTATCCTTGTTCTGTTAATATGATATAAAGTTTATTGATTTGCATATGTTAAACCATTCTTATAAGCCTGGGATTAATCTCATTTGGTCATGGTGGATTATCATTTTAATGTGCTGTTGAATTCAGTTTGCTAGTATTTTTCTGAGAATATTTCATCTATGTTCATCAGGGATATTAGTCTGTAGTTTTCTTTATTTGTTGTGTTCTTGTATGGTTTTGGTATCAGGATAGTGCTAGCCTCAAAGAATAAGTGTGGGATAATTCCATCCTCTTCACTTTTTTCAGAGTGGTTTGAGAAGAATTGGTATTAGTTTTTTAAATGTTTGATGTAATTCGGTATTGATGTAATCAAGTCCTGGGTTTTTTTTTTTTTTTTTTGAGGGGAATTTTTATTACTGATTCAATCTCATTACTCTTTGTTGGTCTGTTCAGGTTTTCTGTTTCTTTATGATTCAACTTTGATAGGTTGTATGTGTTCAGGAATATACCCATTTCTTGTAGGTTTTCAAATTTGTTAGCATATAGTTGTTCATAATCACCTCTAAAGATCCTTTATATTTGTGTGATATTAGTTGAAATATTTCCTTTTTCACCCTGATTTCATTTATTTGGGTCTCACCTTCTTTTCCTTAGTTTACCTAAATGTTGGTCAATTTTGTTTATCTTTTTAAAAAACCACCTCTTCATTTCATTGGTCTTCTAAATTATTTTTAGTCTCTATCTCATTTCTGTTACATTCTTCATTATTATTTTTTCTTCTGCTAATTTTGGGCTTAGTTGCTCATGTTTTATAGTTCCTGGAGATGCAACATTAAGTAGTATAATTAAGATCTATCTACTTTTTTGATGTAGATATCTATTACTATGAACTTCCCTCTTAAAACTACTTTTGCTCTATACCACAGGTTTTGGTATGTTGTGTTTCTGTTTTCATTTGTCTTGAGAAATTTTTTTTTTTTTTACTTCAAAAAAATACATTTTAATTTATTTCAGCTTAAATTTTATGTTTTTTTTTATTATACTTTAAGTTTTAGGGTACATGTGCACATTGTGCAGGTTAGTTACATATGTATACATGTGCCAAGCTGGTGCGCTGCACCCACTAACTCGTCATCTAGCATTAGGTATATCTCCCGATGCTATCCCTCCCCCCTCCCCCCACCCCACAACAGTCCCCAGAGTGTGATATTCCCTTTCCTGTGTCCACGTGATCTCATTGTTCAATTCCCACCTATGAGTGAGAATATGCAGTGTTTGGTTTTTTGTTCTTGCGATAGTTTACTGAGAATGATGATTTCCAATTTCATCCATGTCCCTACAAAGGACATGAACTCATCATTTTTTATGGCTGCATAGTATTCCATGGTGTATATGTGCCACATTTTCTTGATCCAGTCTATCATTGTTGGACATTTGGGTTGGTTCCAAGTCTTTGCTATTGTGAATAATGCCACAATAAACATACATGTGCATGTGTCTTTATAGCAGCATGATTTATAGTCCTTTGGGTATATACCCAGTAATGGGATGGCTGGGTCAAATGGTATTTCTAGTTCTAGATCCCTGAGGAATCGCCACACTGACTTCCACAATGGTTGAACTAGTCTACAGTCCCACCAACAGTGTAAAAGTCTTCCTATTTCTCCACATCCTCTCCAGCACCTGTTGTTTCCTGACTTTTTAATGATTGCCATTCTAACTGCTGTGAGATGGTATCTCATTGTGGTTTTGATTTGCATTTCTCTGATGGCCAGTGATGATGACCATTTTTTCATGTGTTTTTTTGGCTGCATAAATGTCTTCTTTTGAGAAGTGTCTGTTCATGTCCTTCGCCCACTTTTTGATGGGGTTGTTTGTTTTTTTCTTGTAAATTTGTTTGAGTTCATTGTAGATTCTGGATATGAGCCCTTTGTCAGATGAATAGGTTGCGAAAATTTTCTCCCATTTTGTAGGTTGCCTGTTCACTCTGATGGTAGTTTCTTTTGCTGTGCAGAAGCTCTTTAGTTTAATTAGATCCCATGTGTCAATTTTGTCTCTTGTTGCCATTGCTTTTGGTGTTTTAGACATGAAGTCCTTGCCCATGCCTATGTCCTGAATGGTAATGCCTAGGTTTTCTTCTAGGGTTTTTATGGTTTTAGGTCTAACATTTAAGTCTTTAATCCATCTTGAATTGATTTTTGTATAAGGTGTAAGGAAGGGATCCAGTTTCAGCTTTCTACATATGGCTAGCCAGTTTTCCCAGCACCATTTATTAAATAGGGAATCCTTTCCCCATTGCTTGTTTTTCTCAGGTTTGTCAAAGATCAGATAGTTGTAGATATGCGGCGTTATTTCTGAGGGCTCTGTTCTGTTCCATTGATCTATATCTCTGTTTTGGTACCAGTACCATGCTGTTTTGGTTACTGTAGCCTTGTAGTATAGTTTGAAGTCAGGTAGTGTGATGCCTCCAGCTTTGTTCTTTTGGCTTAGGATTGACTTGGCAATGCAGGCTCTTTTTTGGTTCCATATGAAGTTTAAAGTAGTTTTTTCCAACTGTGTGAAGAAAGTCATTGGTAGCTTGATGGGGATGGCATTGAATCTGTAAATTACCTTGGGCAGTATGGCCATTTTCATGATATTGATTCTTCCTACCCATGAGCATGGAATGTTCTTCCATTTGTTTGTATCCTCTTTTATTTCCTTGAGCAGTGGTTTGTAGTTCTCCTTGAAGAGGTCTTTCACATCCCTTGTAAGTTGGATTCCTAGGTATTTTATTCTCTTTGAAGCAATTGTGAATGGGAGTTCACTCATGATTTGGCTCTCTGTTTGTCTGTTGTTGGTGTATAAGAATGCTTGTGATTTTTGTACATTGATTTTGTATTCTGAGACTTTGCTGAAGTTGCTTATCAGCTTAAGGAGATTTTGGGTTGAGACAATGGGGTTTTCTAGATATACAATCATGTCGTCTGCAAACAGGGACAATTTGACTTCCTCTTTTCCTAATTGAATACCCTTTATTTCCTTCTCCTGCCTAATTGCCCTGGCCAGAACTTCCAACACTATGTTGAATAGGAGTGGTGAGAGAGGGCATCCCTCTCTTGTGCCAGTTTTCAAAGGGAATGCTTCCAGTTTTTGCCCATTCAGTATGATATTGGCTGTGGGTTTGTCATAGATAGCTCTTATTATTTTGAAATACGTCCCATCAATACCTAATTTATTGAGAGTTTTTAGCATGAAAGGTTGTTGAATTTTGTCAAAGGCTTTTTCTGCATCTATTGAGATAATCATGTGGTTTTTGTCTTTGGCTCTGTTTATATGTTGGATTACATTTATTGATTTGCGTATATTGAACCAGCCTTGCATCCCAGGGATGAAGCCCACTTAGTCATGGTGGATAAGCTTTTTGATGTGCTGCTGGATTCGTTTTGCCAGTATTTTATTGAGGATTTTTGCATCAATGTTCATCAAGGATATTGGTCTAAAATTCTCTTTTTTTGTTGTGTCTCTTCCTGGCTTTGGTATCAGAATGATGCTGGCCTCATAAAATGAGTTAGGGAGGATTCCCTCTTTTTCTATTGATTGGAATAATTTCAGAAGGAATGGTACCAGTTCCTCCTTGTACCTCTGGTAGAATTCGGCTGTGAATCCATCTGGTCCTGGACTCTTTTTGGTTGGTAAGCTATTGATTATTGCCACAATTTCAGCTCCTGTTATTGTTCTATTCAGAGATTCAACTTCTTCCTGGTTTAGTCTTGGGAGAGTGTATGTGTCCAGGAATTTATCCATTTCTTCTAGATTTTCTAGTTTATTTGCATAGAGGTGTTTGTAGTATTCTCTGATGGTAGTTTGTATTTCTGTGGGATCGGTGGTGATATCCCCTTTATCATTTTTTATTGCATCTATTTGATTCTTCTCTCTTTTTTTCTTTATTAGTCTTGCTAGCAGTCTATCAGTTTTGTTGATCCTTTCAAAAAACCTGCTCCTGGATTCATTAATTTTTTGAAGGGTTTTTTGTGTCTCTATTTCCTTCAGTTCTGCTCTGATTTTAGTTATTTCTTGCCTTCTGCTAGCTTTTGAATGTGTTTGCTCTTGCTTTTCTAGTTCTTTTAATTGTGATGTTAGAGTGTCAATTTTGGATCTTTCCTGCTTTCTCTTATGGGCATTTAGTGCTATAAATTTCCCTCTACACACTGCTTTGAATGCGTCCCAGAGATTCTGGTATGTTGTGTCTTTGTTCTCGTTGGTTTCAAAGAACATCTTTATTTCTGCCTTCATTTCATTATGTACCCAGTAGTCATTCAGGAGCAGGTTGTTCAGTTTCCATGTAGTTGAGCAGTTTTGAGTGAGATTCTTAATCCTGAGTTCTAGTTTGATTGCACTGTGGTCTGAGAGATAGTTTGTTATAATTTCTGTTCTTTTACATTTGCTGAGGAGAGCTTTACTTCCCAGTATGTGGTCAATTTTGGAATAGGTGTGGTGTGGTGCTGAAAAAAATGTATATTCTGTTGATTTGGGGTGGAGAGTTCTGTAGATGTCTATTAGATCCGCTTGGTGCAGAGCTGAGTTCAATTCCTGGGTATCCTTGTTAACTTTCTGTCTCGTTGATCTGTCTAATGTTGACAGTGGTGTGTTAAAGTCTCCCATTATTAATGTGTGGGAGTCTAAGTCTCTTTGTAGGTCACTCAGGACTTGCTTTATGAATCTGGGTGCTCCTGTATTGGGTGCATATATATTTAGGATAGTTAGCTCTTCTTGTTGAATTGATCCCTTTACCATTATGTAATGGCCTTCTTTGTCTCTTTTGATCTTTGTTGGTTTAAAGTCTGTTTTATCAGAGACTAGGATTGCAACCCCTGCCTTTTTTTTGTTTTCCATTGGCTTGGTAGATCTTCCTCCATTCTTTTATTTTGAGCCTATGTGTGTCTCTGCCCGTGAGATGGGTTTCCTGAATACAGCACACTGATGGGTCTTGACTCTTTATCCAATTTGCCAGTCTGTGTCTTTTAATTGGAGCATTTAGTCCATTTACATTTAAAGTTAATATTGTTATGTGTGAATTTGATCCTGTCATTATGATGTTAGCTGGTTATTTTGCTCATTAGTTGATGCAGTTTCTTCCTAGTCTCGATGGTCTTTACATTTTGGCATGATTTTGCAGCGGCTGGTACCGGTTGTTCCTTTCCATGTTTAGTGCTTCCTTCAGGAGCTCTTGTAAGGCAGGCCTGGTGGTGACAAAATCTCTCAGCATTTGCTTGTCTGTAAAGTATTTTATTTCTCCTTCACTTACGAAGCTTAGTTTGGCTGGATATGAAATTCTGTGTTGAAAATTCTTTTCTTTAAGAATGTTGAATATTGGCCCCCACTCTCTTCTGGCTTGTAGGGTTTCTGCCGAGAGATCCGCTGTTAGTCTGATGGGCTTCCCTTTGAGGGTAACCCGACCTTTCTCTCTGGCTGCCCTTAACATTTTTTCCTTCATTTCAACTTTGGTGAATCTGACAATTATGTGTCTTGGAGTTGCTCTTCTAGAGGAGTATCTTTGTGGTGTTCTCTGTATTTCCTGAATCTGAACGTTGGCCTGCCTTGCTAGATTGGGGAAGTTCTCCTGGATAATATCCTGCAGAGTGTTTTCCAACTTGGTTCCATTCTCCCCATCCCTTTCAGGTACACCAATCAGACGTAGATTTGGTCTTTTCACATAGTCCCATATTTCTTTGAGGCTTTGCTCATTTCTTTTTATTCTTTTTTCTCTAAACTTCCCTTCTCGCTTCATTTCATTCATTTCATCTTCCATCACTGCTACCCTTTCTTCCAGTTGATCACATCAGCTCCTGAGGCTTCTGCATTCTTCACGTAGTTCTCGAGCCTTGGTTTTCAGCTCCATCAGCTCCTTTAAGCACTTCTCTGTATTGGTTATTCTAGTTATACATTCTTCTAAATTTTTTTCAAAGTTTTCAACTTCTTTGCCTTTGGTTTGAATGTCCTCCCGTAGCTCAGAGTAATTTGATCGTCTGAAGCCTTCTTCTCTCAGCTCGTCAAAGTCATTCTCCATCCAGCTTTGTTCCGTTGCTGGTGAGGAACTGCATTCCTTTGGAGGAGGAGAGGCGCTCTGCTTTTTAGAGTTTCCAGTTTTTCTGTTCTGTTTTTTCCCCATCTTTGTGGTTTTATCTACTTTTGGTCTTTGATGATGGTGATGTACAGATGGGTTTTTGGTGTGGATGTCCTTTCTGTTTGTTAGTTTTCCTTCTAACAGACAGGACCCTCAGCTGCAGGTCTGTTGGAATACCCTGCCGTGTGAGGTGTCAGTGTGCCCCTGCTGGGGGGCGCCTCCCAGTTAGGCTGCCCGGGGGTCAGGGATCAGGGACCCACTTGAGGAGGCAGTCTGCCCATTCTCAGATCTCCAGCTGCGTGCTGGGAGAACCACTGCTCTCTTCAAAGCTGTCAGACAGGGACATTTAAGTCTGCAGAGGTTACTGCTGTCTTTTTGTTTGTCTGTGCCCTGCCCCCAGAGGTGGAGCCTACAGAGGCAGGCAGGCCTCCTTGAGCTGTGGTGGTCTCCACCCAGTTCAAGCTTCCTGGCTGCTTTGTTTACCTAATCAAGCCTGGGCAATGGCGGGCACCCCTCCCCCAGCCTCACTGCTGCCTTGCAGTCTGATCTCAGACTGCTGTGCTAGCAATCAGTGAGACTCCGTGGTCGTAGGACCCTCGGAGCCAGGTGCAGGATATAATCTCATGGTGCGCTGTTTTTTAAGCCCGTTGGAAAAGTGCAGTATTCGGGTGGGAGTGACCCGATTTTCCAGGTGCCGTCCGTCACCCCTTTCTTTGACTCAGAAAGGGAACTCCCTGACCCCTTGCGCTTCCCAAGTGAGGCAATGCCTCGCCCTGCTTCGGCTCGCACACGGTGCACGCACCCACTGACCTGCGCCCACTGTCTGGCACTCCCTAGTGAGATGAACCCAGTACCTCAGATGGAAATGCAGAAATCACCCATCTTCTGTGTCGCTCACGCTGGGAGCTGTAGACCGGAGCTGTTCCTATTTGGCCATCTTGGCTCCTCCCCCCGAGAAATTTTTTTAATTTTATTCATTGACCCATTGGTTTTTAAGGATCATATTGTTTAATTTTCATGTATTTGTATAGTTCTCAAAATTCCACCTATTAGTGATTTCTACTTTTATTCCGTCGTGGTAATAAAAAAAAACTTGCTATAATTTTGATTTTTTAAAAATTTTTTAATACTTATTTTGTAGCCTAACTAATGATCTATCCTACAGAATGTTCCATGTCCTGTTAAGAGTGTATATTCTGCAACCATTAGATGAAATGCCTTGTAAATATCTTTCAGGTCCATTTGATCTTGAACCTGGTTTAGTTCTGATGCTTCTTGGTTGATTTTCTTCCTAGGTGAAACAACCCTTATTGAAAGTGGGTTGTTCAGCTCCACTGCTATTATTGTATTGCAGTTGATCTCTCCCTTTAGGTCTTTTAATATTTCCTTTATATGTTTAGGTTGAGCTCTGATGTTAGGTGTATATATATTTCTACCTTAGTAAATATTCTTGCTGTGTTTACCCCTTTATCATCATATAATGACTTTCTTTGTCTCTTTTTGCAGTTTTTGCTAATGAAGTCTATTTTATCTGGTATAAGTATAGCCACTCCTGCCCCTTATTGATTTCCATTTGCATGGAATATATTTTTCCATCCCTTCACCTTCAGTCTATGTATGTCCCTACAGGTGAAGTGAGTCTCTTATAGGTAGCCGATAATTAAGTCATTTTTAAAATCCATTCAGTCACTCTGTCTTTTAATTGGATAATTTAATCCATTTACATTCAACATAACTATTAATAAGCAAGGACACATGTTGTCATTTTCTTATGTTTTTGCTCATTGTTTTGTAGATCATTTCTCCCTTTTTTCCTTAGTGTCTTCCTTTGTGGTTAGGTGATTTTCTCTAGTAGTATGTTTTGATTCTTTGGCAATCCATAGAGTCAATGCAATCCTTATCAAAATACCAGTGACACTCTTCACAGAAATAGAAAAAAAATCCTAAAATTTGTATGAAACCACAAAAGTCAATGAATAGCCAAAGCAATCTTGAACAAAAAGAATAAAACTGGAGGCATCCCACAACCTAACTTCAAAATGTATTACAAAGGTATAGAAATCAAGACAGCAAAGTACTGACATGAGAACAGACACTATACCAATGGACCAGAATAGAGAATTCAGAAATAATTTCATGCATTTACAGCCAACTTATTTTTTTTTACAAAATTGCCAAGAACACACATTGGAGAAAGGATGGTGTTTTCAGCTAGGAAACGGAATATCCACATGAAGAAGAGTTAAACTAGTCCCCTATCTCTTACCATATATAAAAATCAACTCAAAATGGAGTAAATACTTATGAGTAAGACCCCAAGCTATATAAATAAAAAGAAAACTTAGGGAAAATGCTTCAGGACATTGGTCTGAGCAAGAATTTTTTGGATAGAGCCTCAAAAGCACAGGCAACAAAAGCAAAATTAGGCAAATGGAATTGCATCAAACAAAAAAGCTCTGCACAGTGAAGGAAACTCCTAACAGACTGAAGAGACAACCTATAGAATGAGACAAAATGTTTGCAAACTATATAACTCACAAAGGTTAACATCCAGAATATATAAGAAACTCAATAGCAATAATAATAATAAGCAGAACGAAGTGGCAAAAGAAGACATTTCTCAAAAGAAGACATACAAATTGACAAAAGATAAATTAAAAAATGCCTCAGCATCACTAATCATAAGGAAAATTCTAATCAAAATCACTGAGATAGCATCTCACCCCAGTTAGAATGGCTAGTCTCAAAAAGACAAAAAATAATAAATGCTGGTAAAGATGTGGAGAAAGGAAAACTTGTGTACACTGTTGGTAGGAATATAAATTAGTATAGTCCTTAGGAACAACAGTGTGCCTGTTCCTCAAAAAATTGAAAATAGAACTAGCATATGATCCCACAATCCCACTAGTGGGTATATGCTGAAAAGAAATGAAATCAGCATGTCAAAGAAATGTTTGTACTTTCATGTTTATTGCAGCAATATTCGCAATAGCCAAGATATGGAATCAACACAGATGTCCCTCAGTGGATTAGAAAATGTATTTATAAACAATGGAATACTATTCAGCATTAAAAAGAGTAAAATTCTTTCATTTGCAGCAATAGAAATGATCCTAGAGGGTATTATGTTACATGAAGTGAGCCAAGCACAGAAGAACAAGTATTGCATGATCTAGCTCATATGTGGAATTTAAAAAAATTGATCTCATAGGACTATGGAGTAGATACTAGAGGTTAGGGAGAATAGAGAGATGGATGGGGAAAAACTGGTTAACAGATACAAAGCTACAGTTAGGTAGGAGAAATAAGTTCTGGTGCTCCAGTTCACAGTAGGGTGACTATAGTTAAAAATAATGCATTGCATATTTTTAAATAGCTAGAAGAGAGGATTTTGAATGCTCTCACTAAAAAAAATGATAAATGTGTGAGGTGATCGATATGCTAATTATCTTGATTTGATGAATACACAATATATGCCTGTATCAAAACATGACATTATATACCATAAATATTTACAATTTTTTGTTGTTGTTTGCCTATATTTTGAAACAGAGTTTTTCTATGTTTCCTGGGCTAGTCTGGAACTCCTGAGCTCAAGCAATCATCCTGCCTCAGCTTCCTGAGTATGTAGGAATATAGGAGTGTGCCACTGTGCCTGGCTGTACAATTATTATGGTTCAGTTAAAAACAACATAAAACCTAAAGAATAATTTACTATATCCTTAATGATGAATATATGTGTGTTTCAAGGAATAGCATTTTTATTTGTTATTATTTTTCTTTTGTTGGCCACTACAAACAATGCTTTCATAAATGTTTTGTACATAGGTTCTCATATATCAGAGCTTGTGGGCCTGCATGATATATTTCCAAAACTAAAATTACTACTCCAAAGAGAGTATTTTTTTTAAATTTTAATAGACATTGCTAGGTTACTGAATCTAAAATTTGAAGCAATTCACATTTCCCCTAAAATATATGAGTACTCACTTTTCTGTATTACTTCTGATATTGACTGTGATTGCTTTTGTTGTAAAAAGACAACAAATGTATACGTATATATATGTTTATCTTAAATATACATATGTATCTTAAATATATGTATACATATGTATATCTTAAATATATGTGAGATACATATGTATATCTTAAATATAAGTATCAGTAGATATAATGGGATTTACATTATAAATCCCAATATATGTATATATTATATATTATACATATATGTGTATATAATATATGCATGTGTATATCTTATATAAGTATCTATATATACATATATGTATAGCTTATGTAAGAATAAGATATAGATATCTTATACTTAATCTTATACATATCTTATACTTGATATGTACATTATATATGTATATATTATGTTTTGGTGACTGCATTGTTCTTTCATTCCACAATTATTTCCCATTTTCTTAGTGTACTAGGCATTAAGCATACGTTAACAGGCATGATAGAAATAATGCTAGCCTTCCTGGAGTCTAGTATTTCAGAAAGTTAGTTTATTATTAATTAAAACATTTATTATTACAAATAATATAAGAGGAAAGATATATTGTGCTAAGGAATATTGTCTACTAAGGTTTTCCAGAGGAAGTAATACTTAAGCAGAAACCTAATAGATGGGTAGGAATCAGCCGGAAGAGGGAGATATGGGATGAGTATATCCTTCCAAATAGTGGGTAAATCAAGTGATAAGGCCCAGAAGAATTAGAGAACCTGCCTAGCACATAGAATAAAAAGTATGGAAGAGTCCTAGAGTGGACAACATTTTGCCTTTTAAGCTAAGTTAAGAAGCAATAAGAAATAGTGATAAGAAAATACTGGAAAGACTTATTCAGGAGAAGGACATGATAAATTTGTCTTGTAGAAGTATCTTTTGGTTTGTACAATATGGAACTGATAAGCTAAAAGTGGAGGCAATTGAAGCAATTCAAGTGAGGGATGCTAGACCCTTGGGCAAAGATAATAAAAGAGGAGATGGAAAGAAACAATTGGAATTGGTAAAATGAAAGGATCTTTGTATTTAATTGATGAGTCCAGTGAAGTAGAGAGGAGGGATTTGAAGATAGCTCTCAGGTTTCTCATGTAGACAATTGAATGGATGCTGGTTGTGTTAACTAAGAAAGAATATACTCTGGCACCTAACCAGGAGTCATATTTCCAAAGAGGAATAAGTTTAATTTCAAACATGTTGAATTTGAATGCCTGCCAAATGCACTAGTAGAGCTGTCTGATTGTCAGCAAGGTAGATATGTCTGGAGCTCAGGAATGAGCCTTAACTTGGAAATAAAATGTTTTCCATCCTTTGGTTTGTTTCTGAATAATAAATTCTCTGAAAGGGTCAAATGGGCATTAACATTTTTATGGTTTTCGGGGTTCTTGGTATTCTTTACAATAATTTTTACAAAAACATGTTTTCATTTGCATTGCTACTAGTAATGCATGATGATAACATTTTCATCTCATAACTGTTATCAAATAAGGTTATTAATATATTTTCTCTTTGAATAAACTAATAAGTACAAATTTGTCTTAATTTTCACCTTTTCAGGTTGTGTAGTAAGCAAGATATATTTAACTAATTTTATTTCCTCTTGGATGAATTGGCTATCCTGTTTTTTGTCTTGTTGCCACTTGTGCTGGCACCTATGCATAATACATTGATAAAGTAATCATTTGTTGTGTACCTATCATCATGTATTAGGCAGTTACATAAGAGTTTGGAGCTCAGAATAAAAACAGTGTCTGAAATATTCTCTGCCTTCTGATCCAGAGAAACAGTAACTAGATGATTAAAATAATGTTCTTAGTGCCATGAGAAAGGTAAGTCCTGGTTGAAATAAAAGTATCTTGAGGGACACCTGATCCAGACTGGGCAGTGGATGGGACAGAGAAGGAAATCGCACTTGAGCTGAGAAGTAAGGGTAACTAACCTTACTTCTTACTTACTAACCCAGGAAAAGTTGGGTTAGGAGGAAGGTTTGTAGAAGTAATAGCTAGAAAACTGATAGAAGAATAAAGAGGCTCAGGTACAAAAAATTATGTCAGCAAGACCAAGGCATTGAGTGTGAAAGAATATAACAGTAAAAATAAATCTAGAAAGATGAGCAGAGGTCAGATTTAAGGCTAGCTATGTGGTAAATCTTTATTTCTTTAATATTTTACTTTATATGTCTATTTCAGAAACACTGTTCTATTTTACACAGAAGCCATACTCATGCCTTCTTTCCATAGAATGGAATTTGCTACAAAGTGTTACAATTTCTGCTCATTTTGACCCATATGAATGAAGACATTAATGAAATAAATAAATATTTCATTGCTTATAGTATACTCATGAGCAAAATCTTTGAAGCTGGCTTGCATTCTATTTATGCTCCAGACTTCCTTCAAATCTCAGTGCTCACCTCCCTAATATGTTCAGTGGTTTTTTTAATGTTTCAAGTTTAACTGTTTTCATGATTAATTGTATGACAGATTTTGATGGCTAATAGAAATTTTGAAATATGGAGTTAGTTATATAGGCTATTAAAGACTGTGAAATAATAATGTTTAGAAATTTAAAAATTAACTTAAATAGAAAATGAATGGATAGTTTCTGAATCTCATACTTTTATTCGTTCTTTTTTTATTTCAATAGTTTTGGGGACGCAGGTGGTTTTTGGGTATATTGATAAGTTCTTTAGTAGTGATTTCTGAGATTTTGGTGCACCTGTCACCTGAGCAGTGTACACTGTACTCAATATGTAGTCTTTTATCTTTCACTCCCCTCCCACCTTTCCCCTGGAGTCCACAAAGTTCCTAATATTATTCTTATGTCTTTGCAGCCTCATAACTTAGCTCCCACTTGTAACTGAAAACATACAATATTTGGTTTTCCATTCCTGAGTTACTTCATTTAGAATAATGGCCTCCAGCTCCTTCCAAGTTGCTGCAAAAGACACTATTTCATTCCTTTTATGGTTGAGTAGTATTCCATGGTGTGTGTGTGTATATATATAATGTGTATATATATATGTGTGTATATATATATACACACACACACCATTATATATATATACACACACACATATATATATACACACACACACCATTATATGTATGTGTGTATATATATATGCCATATATATATATACTATATATATATGGCATATATATACTATATATATATGCCATATATATACTATATATATATGCCATATATATACTATATATATATGCCATATATATATACTATATATATATGGCATATATATATGGCATATATATATATGCCACATTTTGTTTATCCACTTGTTGGTTGATGGGCATGTAGGTTGGTTCAGTATTTTTGCAGTTGTGAATTGTGCTTCTATGAAAATGTGTGTGCATTTGTCTTTTCATATAATGACTCATTTTCTTTTGGGTAGATACCTAGCAGTGGGATTGCTGGATCAAATGGTAGTTCTGCTTTTAGTTCTTTAAGGAATTTCCATACTGCTTGATGTGGTTTGGTTCAGTGTCCCTACCCAAATCTCATCTTGAATTGTAATCCCCACATGTCCAGGGAGGGACCTGGTAGGAGGTGATTAGATTATGGGGGCAGTTTCCCCCATGCTGTTCTCATGATAGTGAGAAAGTTCTCATGAGATCTGATGGCTTAAAAGTGTAGCGCTTCCTCTTTGCTCGATCTCTCTCTCCTGCTGCCTTATGAAGATGGTGCCTGCTTCCCCTTCACTTTCTGCCATAATTGTAAGTTTCCTGAGGCCTCCCCAGCCATGCAGAACTGTGAGTGAGTTAAACCTCTTTTGTTTGTAAATTACCCAGTCTCAGGTAGTATCTTTATAGTAGTGTGAGAACAGACTACTACACTGTTTTCCATAGTGGTTGAACTACTTCACATTCCTACCAGCAGTAAAAGTGTTCCCTTTTCACCATATCCATGCCAACATCTATTATTTTTTTACTTTTTAATTATTACCATTCTTGCAGGAGTAAAGTGGCATCGCATTGTGGTTTTAATTTGTATTTCTCTGATAATTAGTGATGTTGAGCATTTTTTCATACATTTGTTGGCTGTTTGTATATCATCTTTTGAGAATTGTCTATTTATGTCATCTGCCTGCTTTTTCATGGGATTATTTTTTTTTTCTGATTTATTTGAGTTCCTTGTAGATTCTGGATAATGGTGCTTTGTCAGAAGCATAGTTTTGAATATTTTCTCCCAATCTGTGGGTTGTTTGTTTACTCTGCTGATTATTTCTTTTGCTGTACAGAAGCTTTTTAGTTTAATTAGGTCCCATTTATTTATTTTTGTTTTTGTTAAATTTGCTTTTGGAGTCTTTGTCATGAATTCTTTCCTAAGCCAATGTCTAGAAGAGTTTTTCCAATGTTATCTTCCAGAGTTTTTATGATCTCAGGTTTTAGATTTAAATCTTGGATCCATCTTGAGGTAATTTTTATATAAGATGAGGGATGAAGATCCAGTTTCATTCTTCTGTGGCTTGCCAATTTTCCCAGCACCATTTATTGAACAGAGTGTCCTTTCCCCAATTTATGTTTTTGTTTGCTTTGTCAAAGATCGGTTGGCTGTAAGTATTTAGCTTTACTTCTGGGTTCTCTATTCTGCTCCATCAGTCTATGTGCCTATATTTATACCAGTACTGTGCTGTTTTGGTAACTATAGCCTTGCAGTATAATTTGAAGTCAGGTAATGTGGTGCCTCCAGATTTGTTCTTGTTTCTTAGTCTTGCTTTGGCTATGTGGGCTCTTTTTGGTTCCATATGAATTTTAGGATTTTTTTTCTAGTTCTGTGAAGAATTATGATGGTATTTTGATGGAAATTGCAATGAATCTGCAATTTTCGTTGGGAGTATGATCATTTTCACAATATTGTGAATCTCATACTTTTAAATATATTTTTATTTTCCTCTAGTAAGCAATGACCACTTGACTTTTAGATTGTGATTTCTCACCAGGTATTTTAGTTTGTAGATGCCAAATTAGTTATCAGTGAGCGAAAATAAAACAAAAGAAAATGATACCTAAAACCTCACAAAATCTGCTCTATGATTAACACAGAAGATTTAGTTATTGTTTTCTACGTAATTAGTACATTTGCTTAGAATCTGCTTAATTTTATTTAGACTCATCAAAAATATCAAAGTCATCTATTTTAACTGGAATATACACTTTGTAGAATTAAATAGAGCAATATAATACCTAAAATTTTGAGAGAATATTATGGTTTAGGACCTTTGATGATGACCTTGTATTGTCTTTTTAATTTGTAAAGCCAGGCACTTTAAATGAAAAAGCCTATTTCTACATATTGCAAATGTATATTTTGGGGAATACATTTGGCAACATTTGTTTACTTAATTATCCATATAAAATATATATTCAAATAGAAGTAAATTTTCCAGAAAACTCCCATTAGTTTATTTGTTATGCAGTCTTCACGTACAAATTTAAAAGTGTTTGCAAAGCTAACTTTTACCTCAGTTGCCTTTATTGGTGGATATCTAATACAATCCCATTCAAACTATACATAAAAAGAATTACTTTCACTATAAAAATAGAGGTTAAAATTTACAGAATATAGTTATCTTGGCAAATAAAGCAATGATTCCTAAACAAATAAACAAATATCAGAAAGCAGTGTAAAAACTATCTATACTTATGCCTACAAATAGTTCATGATACTACATCAGATGTGGAAAGATAGGACTTTGAAACCAATAGTATATACTGATAAATGGGCAAGTTGTATCTTTGTAATATTTAAAATCTATTAGAGATGGTTTAGCTTATTGAATCACTAGAATTTTCACTAGAATTGACGAACTGATGAATTCTAGAATTTAACTCATGAATGTGCTATCCAAAGTGTTCCTTGAACAAGTATTTCTGAGTTCCTTCCGTATGTTAAATACTCATAGATTCTGAAGGTTCAGTGGCAAATGTGGTTGACAAAAACATTTGCTCTTGACAGGAATATATTCTTTCAAGAGGATAAGACAGTAAGCAAATAAAGAAAAGAACACATACATAAACTTATTTCAAATTGAGATAAGCACCTTTTCATAAATAAAGTAGGGTGATAAGAAAAAAGCATTTTACATAGAATGATTTCTCTCAAAACTTAACATTTACAATGAATCTTAAAGATAAGCAAGAGCCAACCATGCCTATTATATATCATAGTGGAAAGGTCAAGTAAGCAGATAGAAGTATGAATCTGGTGTAGAGGATAAAAAAAAACAGAGACATTCATTTTAGAGTTATAGTATATTGTGCTGTTTAAATTCAGGAAAATATAACCACCCAGGAAGAAAATATTGCTAGAGAAGAGAACAACGTTCAAAACCAAACCCTAAAGCATTCCAGTATTTAGGATAAGGGGGAGGAAGGTTATCCAGTAAAAGACCAAATGACCACGAAGAAAGTTAAAAGCTTTAAAAGCCTAAGCAGGGGGAACTTCATCATCTCTGTTACTTTTAACAGAAGGTAAAATGAGAACAGAGAAGTTTCCATTGCATTGGCAATAAAGAAGTATTTACTGATCATTGGGGTAACATCAGTAGAGAAGTGAGGAGGAAAGCAAAGTTGTAGTAATTTAAAGAGTAAATGGGAGATATACTAGTAGTATATAGAAAACATTTTCAAAAAGGCCTTCTTATAGAGAGATAAACATGTGGAGTGATAGAGGAGGATGTAAGCTTAAGAAAAACTGCATTGGTGATCCAAAAATAGAGGGAATAAAGTTCTTAAGAAAATTAGAAGTCCGGGCG
Source organism: Homo sapiens (assembly GCF_000001405.40). Classification (NCBI taxonomy): domain Eukaryota; kingdom Metazoa; phylum Chordata; class Mammalia; order Primates; family Hominidae; genus Homo; species Homo sapiens. The sequence continues at coordinate 106,655,458 of NC_000003.12, read as the reverse complement.
CGGTGGCTCACGCCTGTAATCCCAGCACTTTGTGAGGCCGAGGCGCGCAGATCACGTGGTCAGGAGATCAAGACCATCCTGGTTAACACGGTGAAACCCCGTCTCTACTAAAACTACACAAAAAAAAAAATTAGCCAGGCATGGTGGCGAGCGCCTGTAGTCCCAGCTACTCGGGAGGCTGAGGCAGGAGAATGGCATGAACCCGGGAGGCAGAGCTTGCAGTGAGCCGAGATCATGCCACTGCACTCCATCCAGCCGGGGAGACAGAGCGAGACTCCGTCTCAGAAAAAAAAAAAAAAGAAAAAGAAAATTAGAGGATGTAAGATCTAGTGTCCAAATAGGGAGTTAATTTTAAACAGAGTCATTTCTTAAACCAGAAGTAAAAAGAGTATATAAATTATATATATTTGGTCCTGAAAAATGAGGTGAAATTTGTCTGATTGGTTTTTCTCAGTAAACAGAAATTTAGGTCACAGGCTGAAAAAGAAACAGTTTTTTGGAGGTTTAATGTTACATTATTATTTTGAATAGTGAGAAAGTAAATTTAATGGTGAGATGTAGAATAATGGCTAGGTAGTGCTAGGTGCGCTCTTGAAATCTATGGTCAAGAAAAAAACATTTTTGAAATTATCGTTCTCTTTTTCTTTATTTTAACTTTATTTTAGGTTCAGAGTACATGTGCTGGTTTGTTATGTAGGTAAACTCGGTGGGTTTATTCTAGAAATCATTTTTTTATTCATGTACAAAGCCTAGTACCTGATAGTTATTTTTTCTGCTCCTCTCCCTCCTTCCCATCTTCAACCCTCAGGTATGCCGCAGTGTCTATTGTTCCCCTCTTTGTGTCTGTCTGTTCTCATTGTTAAGCTCTCACTTATAAGTGAGAATATGCATTATTTAGTTTTGTGTTCCTGCGTTAATTTGCTTAGGATGATGGCCTCCAAGACATATCCATGTTCCTGCAAAGGACATGATCTTGTTCCTTTTTATGGCTGCATAGTATTCCATGGTGTATATGTTCCACATTTTCTTTATCCAGTCTACCATTGATGAGCATTTAGGTTGATTCCATGTCTTTGCTACTGTGAATAGTGCTGCAGTGAACATGGGAACATGTGTCTTCATGACAGAATGGTTTATATTCCTTTGCATATATACTCAGTGATGGGATTGTTGGGTCAAAAACTAGTTCTGTTTTTAGCTCTTTGAGGAATCACCACATTGCTTTCACAATGGTTGAACTAATTTATACTTCCAACACATTGTATAAGTATTTCCTTTTCTCCTCAACCTTGCCAGCATCTATCATTTTTTTTTTTTACTTTTAGTAATAACCACTCTGACTGGTGAGATGGTATCTCATTATAATTTTGATGTGCATTTCTCTAATGATCAGTCATATTGAGCTTTTTTTCATATGTTTGTTGGCTGCATGTATGTCTTCTTTTGAAAAGTGTCTGTTCACGTCCGTCGCTCACTTTTTAATGGAGTCATTTGGTTTTTTTCTTGTAAACTTGTTTAAGTTCGTTATAGGTCCTGGATATTAGACCTTTGTCAGATGCATAGTTTGCAAATATTTGCAAATATTTTTTCCTATTCTGTCAGTTCTGTTCACTCTGTTGGTAATTTCTTTTGCTGTGTAGAAGCTCTTTAGGTTAATTAGATCCCAGTTGCCAGCTTTTGCTTTTCTTGCAATTCCTTTTGACATCTTCATCATGAAATCTTTCCCAGTTCCTGTGTCCAGAATTGTATAGCGTGGGTTGTCTTTGAGAGTTTTTAAAGTTTTGGGTTTCACATTTAAATCTTTAATCCATCTTGAGTTGATTTTTGTATATGGTGTAAGAAAGGGGTCCAGTTTCAATCTCCTACATACAGCTAGCCAGTTGTGCCAGCACCATTTATTGAATAGGGAATCCTTTCCCTGTTGCTTGTTTTGCCAGCTTTGTCAAAGATCAGATGGTTATACATATGTGGCCTTATTTCTGGGTTTTATTTTCTGTTCCATTGGTCTATGTGTTTTTCTGTACCAGTACCATGCTGTTTGTTTACTGTAACCCTATAGTATAGTTTGAAGTTGGATAGTGTGATGCCTCCTGCTTTATTTCTTTTGCTTAGAATTGCCTCGGCTATTTGGGCTCTTTTTTGTTTCCATATGAATTTTACAATAGTTTTTTCTAGTTCTGTGAAAAATGTCATTTGTAGTTTGATAGGAATAGCATTGAATCTGTAAATTGCTTTGGGCTGTATGGCCATTGTAGCAATATCAATTATTTCTATCCATAAGCATGGAATGTTTTTCTATTTGTTTGTGTCATCTCTGATTTCTTTGAGCAGCGTTTGTAATTCTCACTGTAGAGAACTTTCACTGGTTAGCTCTATTCCTAGGTATTTTATTCTTTTTGTGGCAATTGTGAATGGGATTGCATTCCAGATTTGGCTCTCGACTTGGTTGATATTGGTTTATAGGTATGATAATGATTTTTGTACATCGATTTTGTATTCTGAAACTTTGCTGAGGTTGTTTATCAGCTTAAGAAGCTTTTGTGCTGAGACTATAGAGTTTTCTACATAAAGAATTATGCCATCTCCAAACAGGGATACTTTGATTCCTCTCTTTTTACTTGGATGCCCTTTGATTTTTTCTCTTGCCTGATTGCCCTGGCCACGATTTCTAATACTGTGTTGAATAGGAGTGGAGAGAGAAGTCACCCTTGTCTTATTCCAGTTTTCAAGGGGAATGCTCTAGCTTTTGCCCATTCAGTATGATGTTGGCTGTGGGTTTGTCGTAGGTGGTTCTTATTTATTTTGAGGTATGTTCCCACAATACTGAGTGTTTTTTTTTTTAGAGTTTTTAACATGAAGGGATATTGAATTTTATCAAAAGCCTGTTCTGTATCTATGGAGATAATTATGTGGTTTTTATCTTTAGTTCTGTTTATGTGATGAATCACATTTATTGATTTGCATATGTTGAACCAAACCTACATCCCAGGAATAAAGCCTACTTGATCATAGTTAATTAGCTTTTTGATGTGCTGCTGGATTCAGTTTGCTAGTATTTTGTTGAGGATTTTTGCATCAATGTTGATCAAGGATATTGGCCTGAAGTTTTCTTTTCTGCTGTTTTGTCTCTGACATGTTTTGGTATTAGTATGATGCTGGCCTCATAGAATGAGTTAGGGAGGAGTCTCTCCTCCTCAGTTTTTTTGAATAGCTTCAGTAGAAATGGTACCAGCTATTCTTTGTACATCTGGTAGAATTCAGCTGTGAATCAGTCTGGTCCTGGGCTTTTTTTGGTTGGTAGTAGGCTATTTATTACTGATTCCATTTTAGAGCTCATTATTGGTCTGTTCAGGGATCCAATTTCCTCCTGGTTCAGTATGGGAGGATGTATTTGTACAGGAATTTATCCATTTCTTCTAGAATTTCTAGTTTCTGTGCATAGAGGTGTTCATAGTCTGTGATGGTTATTTGTATTTTTGTGGCGTCAGCGGTAATATCCCCTTTGTCATTTCTAATTGTGTTTATTTGGATCTTTTCTCTTTTCTTCTTTATTAGTCTAGCTAGTGGTCTTATTAATTTTTTTCAAAAAACAAGCTCCTGGCTTTGTTGATCTTTTGAATGGTTTCTCATGTCTCAATTTTCTTCAGTTCAGCTCTGATTTTGGTTATTTCTTGTCTTCTACTAGCTTTGGGGTTGGTTTGCTTTCGTTTCTCTAGTTCTTTTAGTTGTGAAGTTAGATTGTTAATTTGAGATCTTTCTAATTTTTTGATGTGGGGGTTTAGTTATATACATTTCTGCTTTAACACTGCTGTGATGGTTAATGTTAAATGTCAATTTGATCGGATTAAAGGACACAAAGTATTGTTTCTGGGTGTGTCTGTGAGGGTATTGCCAGAGGAGATTAACATTTGATTCAGACTGGGGGCAGTGGCTCATGCCCGTAATCCCAGCACTTTGGGAGGCCAAGGTAGGTAGATCACGAGGTCAGGTGATTGAGACCATCCTGCCTAAAAAGGCAAAACTCCGTCTCTACTAAAAATGTAAAAAATTAGCTGGGTGTGGTGGCATGCGCCTGTAGTCTCAGCTACTCAGGAGGCTGAGGCAGGAGAATCACTTGAATCCGGGAGGCGGAGGTTGCTGTGGGCCGAGATCGCGCCACTGCACTCCAGCCTAGGCTACAGAGTAAGACTCCATCTTAGGAAAAAAAAAAAAAAAGGCTGGACGTGGTGGCTCACGCCTGTAATCCCAGCACTTTGGGAGGCCAAGGCGGGCAGATCACGATGTCAGGAGATGGAGACCATCCTGGCGAACACGGTGAAACCCCGTCTCTACTAAAAATACAAAAAAAGCCAGGCGTGGTGGCGGGCACATGTAGTCCCAGCTACTGAGGAGGCTGAGGCAGGAGAATGGCGTGAACCCAGGAGGCGGAGCTTGCAGTGAGCCGAGTCTGTGCCACTGCACTCCAGCCTGGGCGACAGAACGAGACTCCGTCTCAAAAAAAAAAAAAAAAAAAAGACAGATGCAGTGACTTATGCCTGTAATGCCAGCACTTTGGGAGGTGAGGCCGAGGTGGGTGAATCACCAGGACAGGAGATTGAGACCATCCTGGCTAACATGGTGAAACCCCGTCTCTACTAAAAATAGAAAGAATTAGCCAGGCGTGGCGGCATGCGCCTGTGGTCCCAGCTACTTGGAGGCTGAGGCAGGAGAATGGTGTGAACCCAGGAGGCGGAGCTTGCAGTGAGCCCAGATGGCGCCACTGCACTCCAGCCTGGATGACATAGCCACACTGTGTCTTAAAAAAAAATTTGATTCCGTGGACTGGGAGAAGACCCAGCCTCAATGTGGGTGTGCACCATCTTACCTGCGGCCAGTGTAGCTTTAAAAAAAAAGCAGATGGAAGAAGGTGGAATAAGCTGGCATGCTGAGTCTTTGGGTTTCCATCTTTCTCCTGTGCTGAATGCTTCCTGCCCTCGAATATCAGACTCCAGGTTCTTCGGCTTTGGGACATTTGGACTTATACCAGTTGTTTACCAGGGGACCTTGGGCCTTTGGCCACAGACTGAAGGCTGCACCGTTGGCTTCCCTACTTTTGAGGCTTTGGGACTTGGATGGAACCATTACTGGGTTCCTTGCTCCTCAGCTTGCAGGTGGCCTATCGTGGGATTTACCTTGTGATCGTGTGAGTTAATTCTTAACAAACTCCCTTTCATATATACATATATCCTATTAGTTCTGTGCCTTTAGAGAACCCTAATACAACTGTCTTAGCTGTGTCCCAGAGATTCTAGTATGTTATAATTTATTCTCATTAGTTTCAAGTAACTCCTTGATTTCTGCCTTAATTTCCTTATATACTCAAAAGTCATTCAGGAGCAGGTTGTTTAATTTCCATGTAATCATATGATTTTGAGTGATTTTCTTAGTCTTGAATTCTATTTTTATTGTGCCGTGATTTGAGACAGTGGTTCATATGATTTTGGTTCTTTTGCATTTGCTAAGGATTGTTCGATTGGATGATTGATTTTAAAGTACGTGTCATATGGTGCTGAGAAGAATGTATATTGTGTTGTTTTCGGGTAGAGAGTTCTGTAGATGTCTATCAGGTACATTTGATCCAATGTTGAGTTCAGGTTCTGAATATCTTTGTTAATTTTCTTCCTCAATGATCTGTCTAATATTGTCAGTGTGGTGGTGTTGAAGTCTTCCACTATTATTGTGTGGGAGTCTAAGTCTCTTTGAAGGTCACTAAGAACGTGCTTTATGAATCGGGGTGCTCCTGTGTTGGGCACATGTATATTTAGCATAGTTAGATCTTCTGGTTGAACTGAACTCATTACCATTCCGTAATACCCTTCTTTGTCTTTTCTGATCTTTGTTGATTTAAAGTCTGTTTTGTCTGAAATTAGGCCAATCCTGCTTTTTTCTGTTTTCAATTTGCTTCATAGATTTTTTTCCATCTCTTCATTTTGAGTCCTTGGGTATCATTTCATGTGATGAGATGGGTCGCTCAAACCCAACATACTATTGGGTCTTGCTTCTTTATTCAGCTTGCCACTCTGTGCCTTTTAATTGAGGCATTTAGCCCGTTTACATTCAGGGTTAGTATTCATATGTATGGATTTGATCCAGTCATCATATCATTGGCTGGTTATTATGCTGACTTGGGACTTCGGGGTTTTTTTTTTTTTTTTTTTTTTTTGAGACAGAATCTCTCTCTGTCACCTAGGCTGGAGTGCAGTGGCGTGATCTCTGCTCACTGCAACCTCCGCCTCCCAGATTCAAGTGATTCTCCTGCCTCAGCCGCCCGAGTAGCTGGGACTACAGGTGCCCGCCACCACACCTGGCTAATTTTTTTGTATTTTTAGTAGAGACGGGGTTTCACAATGTTAGTCAGGATGGTCTTGATCTCTTGACCTCATGATCCGCCCCCCTCAACCTCCCAAAGTGCTGGGATTACAGGCGTGAGCCACTGCGCCCAGCTGGATTTTTTATCACTTTATAGTGTCACTGGTCTGTGTACTTAAGTGTGGTTTTGTAGTGCCTGGTAACAGTCTTTCCTTTCCATATTTATTGCTTCTTTCAGGAGCTCTTGTAAAATAAGTCTGGTGCTAACAAATTCCCTCAGCATTTGCTTGTCTGAAAAGTATCTTATTTCTTTTTTGCTTATGAAGCTTATTTTGGCCAGACATGAAATTCTGGGTTGGAATTTCTTTTCTTTAAGAATGTTGAATGTTAGTCCCCAATCTCTTCTGGCTTGTGTGGTTTCTGCTGAGAAGTGTGCTATTAGTCTGATGGGCTTCCTCTCATAGGTTACCTGTTCTTTCTCTCTAACTGTATGGTCAAAAACTTAACATGAATCCAGGTAGTAAGGTTGTTTTTTCTCCATTTGTATTTATGTATTGGAGTCCAGGCATAGATTAGATTGTATTTGGGGTTTAACTTGAGTTGTCATGTTTTGTCAAATATATTCAAAGGAGACAGAGGAAAAAGGGGATGAAGGCTATATTCAAAAGTGTGATTATCATTATGGACTCTGCTGGTATTAGAGTAAGGAATGAAGAAAGAGCATGGAGGGGGCAAGAGTTAGTGGGCACAATTGGGCCAGTAGTTTGTGGATATTGATGAAGTTGAATTTGGAAGACAAGTATTAAGGACTTGGAAAAACAGATGATACTAGTCAGTGAGAGTGGATATCTAATCAAAATTACAATGAAATTTTAAAAATTTAGTCAATTCTTTACAAAAGAACAGTGGTGTTCATCAAGCACCAGCCCAGAGATGCACATATAAGACAGTAAACAGCATGCAATCCTGTATAATTTGAATACTACCTTTAACTAAGAGGCTACCTGACTAACAGCAACAACAAAAAAACCTATATATCCAAATGAAGAAAATATCTGGTAAATTAATAAATTACATTTTTTTTGCTCTGTGATAATAATTTTCAAGCAAAATTTTATACACTAGAATCTTTCTTACAGCATAACTATAGAGTGACAAAGGAAAAATACATTTATAGAGCTCTAAATTCATAAGAATATTTCACTCAAAACTTTAAAATCATGTTTCATAGATTTATAATAGATATATCATGAGTCCCCAGACATGAATGAGTATAGAGCTTCCTATTACAAATATACAATTGTCATCATAAATGGCTCAATTTATTTACTTTGAAAACATTTGTCTAAATTTAAAGCTACTAAAATATTGATTTTGGCTATTTGTAAAAGGAGATGTCAGAAATAAATGAGTGAACATTTTCACCCACTATCTTGAGACTCCTGTCTGCTAGGTAATTGCGTTATCAACTCCTTTGCTACGCTATTGTGATTTTTATTGAATTCAGCCTGCATTTGTGAATACAGCAAAGCATGAGTCCGACATGCTCTAAAAACCTGAGACTAAATATATAATTATATTTTTATTATCTGGTACTTTTTTTTAGAAGAAAGTAATAACAGACTACCCAACTGAGGGAAGATCCAAATACTAAAGTCTGTCTTTCCCTGGACCAGTTACACAAGATATAGAAGAAAGTAGAGCTTACAAATTACAAATGATATAAAAATATTCAAATATAAGGCAAGAAACATTAACCATCATAAGGACTTTCATATTAACCACAATGGTAAAAACAGCTTATTCCTTATCTTGAAAAATATATATGTATATTTGTGTGTGTGTATGTACACACACACAAGTAATATTATGGATGAATGGTATGAAGGAAAATAGAACAATAGGTGTGGATGTGTGTTCCTATAACCTCTCGTATCAATTTCAGTGTTGTTTATCCTTAAAACAGAGTTGAAGAAACTAGGAATCTTAGAATTCTAGGTTCAATTGAGATAGAGTTTATCCTAGAAAGTACAATGAAATCAGAAGGAAGCAAGTTGAACATGTTTAGAAGAGAGTGGTTATAATATTGTACTTTGGTTTAAACCTTCCTTTTTTCTAATATTCACACTTAAAACTATAATTTTCCATCTCTTTACTGCTTTAGCTACATTTTGTGTAGTTCAATACGTTTCATTTTAATTGTATTTCATTCAAAATACTTTCTAATTTATGTTGTGATTTGTTCCTTGATTATTGGTTATTTAATAGTATGTGGATTAATTTGTAAATATTTAGAAGTTTTCCAGGTATCTTTTAGTTCTTGACTTCTGAGTTAATTCTCTTGCCATCACATAACATATTCTATAAGGTTTACTATTTTGAAATATATTAAGACATATAGTTCTGCACATGAACTATCTTGACAAATGTGCCATCAACATATGGAAAGAATGTGTATCCTGTGGTTGTTGGGTGTAATGGTCTCTAAATGTCAATTAGATAAAGACAGTTAATAGTGTTAATCAAATCTTCTTTATTCCTACTGATATTTTTGTATAGTATTTTATCAATTACTTGGAATGTTAAAATACCTCATTTATAGCATAGGTATGTTTATTTCTCCCTGTAGGGCTGTCAGTTTTTGTTGTAGGTATCTTAAAGCTCTGTGACTAGGTGCATATCCATTTAGGATTATTATGTCTTCTCGATGAGGTTGACCCTTTATTATTATAGTGTCTCTTTGTACCTGTGGTAATATTTATTCCCTGGCTTAAAATAGAAAATTACCTACAAATAAAATATATTGCAGCTTGCTTTCAGTTTGGGTCTATTTTGATTATTATTCTTTTCTTCCCTTAACTATCGGTCACATTTTCCTGTTTCTTTACATGTCTAGTAATATTCTATTATATATTGAGTATTGTGGATTATATGTTTTATAGACAGTGTGAATTCTATTATCTTTCTCCAAAGAATGTTAATTTTCGTCTGGTTGGCAGTTAAATTAAAGGTAGATCATGCTGAACATGTGGAAGATTGATTTTATTAGCATGATCTGTTTTGGGTTTGCTGTTAGCCTTGTTCTCTTGTTGTGTAAGTCAGCTGAAATATCTGCTCATCTTTCTCGGATTGCAGATGTTCTTTTTTGCTGGGTTGTTATAGTCTATCCTATTGTATAACAATTTAGAAGTTAGCCAAAGTTTGAGATTTCAGGGCTTGCCCCTCTGTTCTTACCTCCTGTATGGCATTTTTCCCTTCAATTTCCAGCTGCACTAGTAGCCCTTAAAGCTGTCCTCTAAGATTTCAAGCCAGTAAGACTTGGCTTTCTGCTTGCGTTTAAACTGCCCCATACCACACAGACAGACATGCCCCAGGGAACAAGTCACATAAACAGAGATGTTCTCCCGGTGTAATTTCTTTCTAGATTAAATTGCCTCCAATTCTAGCCTGCCTTTGGGCATTTACTAATGCCTTCACTTGGTTGGTGTTTTTTAAAAATGTTTGGTTCAATGTTTATAGTTGTTCTTACTGGGAGAATTAGTCTGATAGAAACCACTCCGCCATTATTGGAGTCAAAGCTAGTACCAAAATGGACTTTGACATAACACAAATTAGTGAATTTATTTTCATTCACTAAATGTTCACTTAAGATCCAAATGTTCTAGGAAATGTTCCAGGTATTAGAAAAGATAAATATGACTAATTACTTGCTTTAGTTTAGCAAGAGGGACAGATTCTTCAATATTGGAAGGGACAGACTCCCACAAAATGTCTTATGATTCTGCAAGAGATGTGCTAGGAGAGAAATACTTCCAAGTTCTGTACTAGCACAACTCAAGGAGCCAGGAACTCGACTTCCTCAAGTTTTCCCAGAGGATGTAATAATTGAATTGGATCTTAAAAGATGCGTCAGGAGTTCACTGTGTAAACACATGTAATGGTATGAAAGGTGTGAGGAAGAAAGTTTTAGGCAAACGTAGCATACAAAACCAAAAACAATGAAACTGGATGGCTTGTCTTGAAATTGCAGATGAAGATGAATAATAAAAAAAGTTTAGTTGTAAAGACGTGATGAGGCCACATGGTGAATAATGTGTAATATCAATGACAATAATGAAAAACTACTGCCACTAACTTGAGTATTGACTACACAAGTACTTAAGCTAAGAAGTGAGCATATTGTTACCCTATTGATTATAAACACAACCATATGCAGTAGGTAGTGCGTCCGGAATTGGTGGGTTCTTGGTCTCGCTGTTTTCAGGAACGAAGCTGCGGACCCTCACGGTGAGTGTTACAGTGCTGAAAGATGGCGCGTCCAGAGTTTGGCCCTTCGGATATTCAGATGTGTCTGGAGTTTATTCCTTCTGGTGGGTTTGTGGTCTCGTTGGCCTCAAGAGTAAAGCTGCAGACCTTCACAATGAGTGTTACAGCTCATAAAGGTGGTGCGTCCAGAGTTGTTCCTTTCTCCCAGTGGGTTCGTGGTCTTCTTGGCTTCAGGAGTGAAGCTGCAGAACTTTGCAGTTCATGTTACAGCTCTTAAAGGCGACAGGGACCCAAAGAGTGAGCAGCAGCAAGATTTATTGTGAAGAGGAAAAGAACAAAGCTTCCACAGCGTGTACACTACCCGGGCAGGTTACCCGTGCTGGCTCCCACAGCCTGCTTTTATTCCCTTATCTGGCCCCACTCACCTCCTGCTGATTGGTCCATTTTACAGAGAGCTGATTGGTCCATTTTACAGAGAGCTGATTGGTCCGTTTTGACAGGGTGCTGATTGGTACGTTTACAAACCTTGAGCTAGACACAGAGTGCTGACTGGTGCATATATAATCCTCCAGCTAGACATAAAAGTTTTCCAAGACCCCGCCTGACTCAGGAGCCCAGCTGGCTTCACCTGGTGGATCCTGTGCCAGGGCCGTGGGTGGAGCTGCTGCCAGTCCCACAGGGCATACCTGCACTCCTCAGCCCTTGGATGGTCCATGGGAGCGGGCGCGGGGGAGCAGGGGGTGGCACCCGTCAGAGAGGCTCAGGCCGCACGCAAGCCCACAGTGGCAGAGGGAAGGTTGTCCAGCATGGCGGGCTGCAGGTCCCGAGTCCTGCCCCGCGAGGCAGCAGCTGAGGCCCGGGGAGATTTCGAGCATGGTGAAGGTGGGCCGGCAGTGCTGGGGGACCCAGCGCACCCTCCGCAGCTGCTGGCCCGGGTGGTAAGCCCCTCACTGCCCAGGGCCAGCAGCACCAGCTGGCCACTCTGAATGCGGGGCACACCGAGCCTGCGCCCACCTGGAACTCGTGTTGGCCCGCGAGTGCTGCGTGCAGCGCCGGTTCCCGCCTGCACCTCTCCCTCCACATCTCCCGGCAAGCGGAGGGAGTCAGGTCCGGCCTCGGCCAGCCCAGAAAGGGGCTCCCGCAGTGCAGCCGCGGGCTGAAGGGCTCCTCAGGTGCGGCCAGAGTGGACACCGAGGCTGAGGAGGTGCCAAGAGTGAGCAAGGGCTGCCAGCACGCTCAGTAGTATTAGGACCCCATTTTTCAGATATAGATACTGAGGCTTAAACAGGTTGATTTGCACAAAGCTACCCAGTTGGTGAGTGTGGAGTTGTGATTCAAACATACTGTCTCTGATTTCAGATCTTACATGATTTACCATTCCTCTAAAGAGACTGAACATGATCTCATAAATACATAAAAAAGAATGATTTTAAAGAAGTTAGTGTCTTCAGATCTAAATTCTAGAAAATTTAGCTTTATGAAAGTATGGGAGATTGGCTGGGCGTGGTGGCTCACGCCTGTAATCCCAGCACTTTGGGAGGCTGAGGCAGGTGGATCACGAGGGCAAGAGATCGAGACCATCCTGGATAACACGGTGAAACCCTGTCTCTACTAAAAGTACAAAAAATTAACCAGGCGTGGTAGTGGGCACCTGTAGTCCCAGCTACTCTACTCGGGAGGCTGAGGCAGGAGAATGGCGTGAACCTGGGAGGCATAGCTTGCAGTGAGCCCAGAACGTGCCACTGCACTCCAGCCTGGGCGACAGAGTGAGACTGTCTCAAAAAAAAAAAAAAAAAAAAAAAAGTATGGGAGATTATAGAAAAAGAGATAATAGAAAAAATCACTAAATTCTACACATAACACATTCAAATTACCTAGCAGTTCATAGCTGTTCCATGGGTTCAAGATTTTCCCTGCTTAATGGTTAAGAGATAAATGAAGGAGTCAACACGGTGGAAGGAATTTTGGCTTTTTTTATATATGGAAAACTGAAAAATGATTGGAGTAATCATATTAAGTGACAATCTTAAGGCCTCACAACAACTCTATTATCAAGTTAGTAAATTCATATGTTCTTAAACGTAAAACAATCTTACGACAATTTAGAGGTTTATAACTTTGCCATTATCTCTCCCTTTCTCCCAGCACATTTTGTAAAGCACTATCTAATCTAAATTAGGGAACACTCTGGTTAACATAGATAACTAAAGATAACTTTTTATTCTTAGCTGGTTTCAGATTAGCGTTTGGTCTGATAACTGCTTCTTCCATTACCTTTCTCATCTTTAGTGATCACACATAAAGGATGCATCTAGAGGCAGGCTAAGTGCCAGTCACCACCACTGGAGGGATTTGTTGTAAAGCCTCCAATGACTCTATTTTCAGGCTGTATTGGCATAGACTCCCAGCATTTTACACAGTAGGAAGAAAATTTTACATGGCATAAAAAAGTCCAATGAAACATTTATGAAATGTTTTAAGTCATACACTTAGTTTCAGTCTGCTAGCAAGATGCATTGGGTCCCTGTTTCAGTTCATGTAAGTGTAAATGCATATGGCATTTTATGTCTTTGGCATTCTTTTATTTATTCAGTTCCATCTTTGAATCATTCTTTTTAGAATATTTTCTTGGGTAATTGGTGTTTGCACTTTCCACATTCTCAGAAGTAAAGTGGCTCAGATGACATAAAATGGATAAAATAATTGAGGTTAAGAAAAAACTACCTAGGTTTGCATTTGAGATTCATTACTTTCTAGCTGTATAGCTTGAACTAATTTCTTAACCTCACTTTAGTTTCTTCATGGAAACATCAGGGAAAATGACAGCACGGTCTTATAAGGTTTTTGCAAGGATTAATTAGATAATAAATGCAAAGAACTACCAACATAATAAATGTTCTAATATTATTGTTTCTAATGTTAATAATTTTCTTTAAAATTTACGAAGAGATACTAGGTTTATTATGAATTTATCACTGAGTCCTCCATTTGCCCTGATTTTGTTATTGAAAATTGTAGTTGCAGGTCTGTAAGATCCTGTAATTACATCATAAGATTTGTTCTATTTGTCTGAGATTTACTTTTCTCAACAAGAAAGTCACTTGTGAAACTTTTACTAATCTGAACTCCCAATTCATATAAAGAAATCATTTCAGATGCATTCTTGAATGAATTGAGGCAAGTAGCTAAGATAAATGTATTTTTCTGCCTTAAAAAGTAATTTAAATCTGCCTGTATTTGTTTCCTACGGAAACCACGACAAATTACCACAAAGTTGGTCATTTAAAACAACAGAAATTTATTTTCTCATAGTCCAGGAGGCCAGAAGTCTAAAATCAAGTTGTCACCAGGGTTGATATTTTTCTGGAGGCCCCAAGAAAGTCCATTTGATGCCTTTCTCCTAGCTTCTATGGTTGCTGAAAATCCTTGACATTCTTTTGCATGCAGATGCATCCCTCTAATACTTGTCTCCATCTTCATTCACATCATCCTTTCTCTGTGACCAATCTCCCTCTTCTTTCTTTCCTAAGGATCAGTCATTGGATTTAGGGCTCACTCCAAATTGAATATGATCCTGTTGTGATATCCTAAACTTAATTATATCTGCAAAGACACTATTTCTAAATAAAGTCATACTTGTAGTTACCAGGATTAGAACCTCGACATATACTGTTGGAATCACTATTTAGCCCACCACACTGCTAAATGCTGCACTTAGGAAATTGTTATAAAAATAGAGATGCTCTGACAGCACCATAATAATTGACTAGGCACTGAAGATACATGAATTGAATATAAATTTTATCACCAAGTACAATTAAGTGAAAGAAATTAAGCTTTATGTAAGAAAAGATTTGCTATTTAGTAGAGCATTTAATAGAACCCTCAATTATCTAGACTGAGGAATTATACAATAGGATAGGTGATGTTTTCCACTAAGGAGTCAAAATGGAAACATTCAAATGGAATTTGGAGATAACATTTATTTCAGCCTCATTCTTGGTCATATCATTGAAACTTTTGTAAGAGAAACAATAATGTGTACTGCGTTTTGGGTTATCTGAAATCAATTTTCTCACTTGTTTAATGAACAGAATGTGGATTTTGCAGTTCAACAGAACAGGGTTTGAATGCTATATAACCATTGGTTTAGCTGTATGGTCACAGGAAAGTAAATTAATATGTTTGTGTCTCAGTTTTCTTATCTATAAAGAAGGCATGATAATACCAACTTCCTAGAATTGCTACTAGAATAAAATGAGGAATTGTGTAAAAAGGGGCCTGACTCAGGGAAGTGGTGCGTAACATATTGTTCTCCTTTTTGAACTTGGTTATTCAAATGATGCCCAATCTTAACAGGCATAAAACAAAACAAAAGCAACTAACAAAAAATGGCATTTTTTTGTTAACATTTTTCCTATTATCTCTCCCCATGCAATTTGGAATAATAGTTTATGGATGGCTTCTCATTAATTTTCTAATTCTTGTTTGTGTTACATAAAGGATACAGCAACACACACACTTTTCACAAGTTTAGTCCCACCAAAGATCCAGTCACATACTAGATACTTATGGTGATCTTTCTTCTTTTTTTTTTTTTTGACGAAATCTCACTCTATTGCCCAGGCTGGAGTGCAGTGGCACGGTCTTGGCTCGCTGCAACCTTTGCCACCCGAGTCCAAGCAATTCTCCTGCCTCAGCCTCACAAGTAGCTGGGATTACAGGCACCTGCCACTGTGCCTGGCTAATTTTTGTATTTTTAGTAGAGATGAGGTTTCACTTACGGTGATCTTTCTTACTGTAAAAAGTAAAGTTCAGTAAAGATCCTGTGCTTATGGCAATCCACTTCTACTGAAGTTTTTTGGCTTTTTTTTATATATGGAAAACTGAAAAATGATTGGAGTAATCATATTAAGTGACAATCTTAAGGCCTCACAACAACTCTATTATCAAGTTAGTAAAAGCATTTATATATGCTCTTTTTCTATCTATACCGATGGTGCCTGGTGATAGCCCAAGTTCCCAGAAATGTGTGGAGACTGACTAGTTGTCAGAGAGGAATGACAAAGAGGCTTTTATTTTGGTAATTTGCAGAAACCCAGGGTGTGATCTTTAATCTTTTAGATATAAAATATTGATCTTATTGGTGATCCAGAAATCAAACTCAGGGATGAGGACTTACATGTTTTAACTCAAGAGACATGGAAATACAAGAACAAAAAGACTATTACTTCATGTTCTCACTCTATGTGGGGGCTAAAATAATTGAGCTCACAGAAGTAGAGAGTAGATTGGTGGTTTGTAGAGGCTAAGAAGGGTAGAGGGGAGAGAGAATAGGGATAGTTGACTAACAGATACAAGTTACAGCTAGACAGGAGTATTACAGTCTAGTGTTCTGTAGCTCTGTGTGGTGTCTATAGTCAACAATAATTCGTTGTATAATTTCAAATAGCTAAAAGAGAGGAATTTGGAATGTTCCCATTAAATAAATAAAAAATGTCTGGGGGGGTAGATATATATGTTAATTACCCTGATTTGATTATTATATATTATATGTGTATTGAAATATCCCATAAATATGTGCAATTGTAAAAAAGATTAATTTATTTAGAAAATGTGACATACAGTTTTATAAGAATTATGGCAATATTTATCAAGAAACTTAACCCTGTTGGTATCCATTGTTATAGGATCCTTATATACATAAGGAAACCCGAGACCCATACTTATGTATAATCATAACTCTTTATAATTATACATATGTTTCATTATGAATAGTCATGTTTATCAAATGTTTTTATAGCAAAAAAAGTTAAAAATACTAAATGTTCAAACATAAGAATAGAACAGCACTTTACAAACTGTGAGCCTCAATCCACACTGACTTATGGAAAAAATTTACTGGGTTGCAAAAAACATATTTTTCTAAATAATTTCAATTTATTAATGAGAGAATTGAAGCACAAAAAGACTAAAAAAAGTGACTAAGGTCACATAGCTAGCCAGGGGAAGTTGAATTTCTTGACTCAAAAATCCCATGTTCTTTACTAGAATTGGATGCTACCAGAAGCTGACCTGTTATTGGTTTAGCCATGCAATATGGTTCTCTGTAGGGGAAACTAGAGTGCATGTGTGTAGGAAGATGTGTTTGGAATGGATGAGAGAAGTTGGCTGTCATGTTAAAGAATGGCCAGGGTTGTCATCATTCTTGGTCTTAATATTTTTTAAGAGCTTTCTTTTTTTCTTTGGGATATCACAACTATAGTTAAATGAAGCAAATGTGGGCTGGATATTTTGAATTTTTCAGGTATTGGTCTTGAGAAATTGACATATCTCTAACATATAATCCAATTCGTTCATCCCATGAAGCTAGAACTTAAAAGTATCATATACTTAATTGTTTGTCCTAAAAAGATATTTTGGGCTGGGCACGGTGGCACATGCCTGTAATCCCAGCACTTTGGGAGGCTGAAGCAGGCAGATCACCTGAGGTCAGGAGTTCAAGACCAGCCTGGCCAACATGGTGAAACCTTGTCTCTATTAAAAACACAAAAATTATCTGGGTGTGGTGGCGGGTGCCTGTAATCCCAGCTACTCAGGAGGCTGAGGCAGGAGAATTGCTTGAACCCGGGAGGCAGAGGCTGTAGTGAGCCGAGATCATGCCGTTGCACTTCAGCCTGGGAAACAGAGCAAAACTCTATCTCAAAAAAAAAAAAAAATCTTAAACATATAGGAAAGTGTACAGGTAATATTACATTTTCATGAAACCACCACCAAGCTCTGATATTTATTACAATGTTAAAAACATTTACTTTAAACTTTTATCTCAGAAAAGTTATAATTCATGCAAAGGTCTGTATTAAGAGTTAATTTTGATTTCAATACAAAGAAAGCTTGTCTTCTGTGTTCTTTATAATCTTTCATTATGTGTATGTGTGTGAATGTGTGTGGGTGTTTATATAGGAAGAATGGTTTGCTTTGCAGATATACTCCTTTAGAGCTAAATCCCACCCTTTAAAGTTTCTTTTATATACATATAAATGTCTATTTTTGCTAATAAATGGTATGAAAAATACCAAAATTATCTAATCTCCCACATGTAGTCAGAATCTTAATAGAACAATAAAATTGTTGTAGCTGTTTCTAAGTGTTGAAAGAAAAACAGGAAGAACATACTTCATTAGGATGAAATTACAGATTTTTTCTAATTAAACTTAGGTAGGTAAAAGATGTTGATCAACCATACAATTTGATAACATTAAGAGCTTCAGTATCTTTTAGCTCAATGGATTTGTTGATTATCTTATAATAATAATTATTGCATTCCTAAAATAGCCTAGGCACCATTTGATACAGAAATAAATAAGACATAGATCTCCCATCATGAAACTTGCATTAAGAGAAACATTAAGGCGAAATAGAATATATCCCAGTATGTTGTATTTTTTAACCAAGTAAACAGATTGTATCATTTTGGGAATTCATTGCTATGCCAAATTAAAACTGCTTCAGGTTAAAGGTTTGGAGGATTGAGGGGATCATTTTAGATAAAATAGTCAGGAAGGCCTCCTTGAAGAGGTAATATTTAAGTAAAAACTTAAATTATTTGGTGTAACAAGCCATTGTACATCTGGGAATGAACATTCTGGAAAGAAGGGATTGCAGGTATAAAGGCCTGGGCAATTCAAAATCTCCTATACTTTCCTCGGTCTGCAAATTCACCTCATCTTCCGCAGACAACAGCTGCTCTTAATACAAAGAAGATGGAGATTAGTAAGCAGAAACTTCTCACCTTTCTACTTCTCCTCTATAAACTTTTCTGCATCCCCACCATCCTTTCAGCCTATACAGTTTTTCACGGACTGAATTGTGTCCCTACAAAATTCATATGTTGAAGTCACAACCCAGAGTACCTCAGAATAGGACCTCATTTGGAGATAAGGTCTTTCAAAAGATAAAGTAATATGAAGTCATATGGGTGGGCCCCCATTCAATATGACTAGTGTCTTCATAAGTGAGGAGATTAGGACACAGACATGCACAGAGGGAAGACCACATGAAGACAGAAGGAGAAGATAGCCACCAACAAGCCAATGATAGAGACCTCATAAGAAACCAACACTTCCAACACCTTGATATCAAACTCAGCCTCCAGAATTGAGAGAAGATAAATTTCTGTTGTTTAAACCACCCAGTCTGTGGTATTTGTTACAGTAGTCCCCGCAAACTAATACAGATGTTTCTCAACTGATGATAAGGTTATGTTCCAATGAACCTGTTTTAAATTGAAAATATTGTAAGTCAAAAATGCATTTAATACACCTAATCTACTGAACATCATAGCTTTGCCTAGCTTACCTTAAACATGCTCAGAACACTTATATTAGCCTACAATTTGGCAAAATCATAAAACACAAAGCTTATTTTATAATAAAGTGTTGAATACCTCGTGTAACTTACTAAATACTGTACTGGAAGTGAAAAACAGAATGGTTGTATGGATACTTGAAGTATGGCTTTTACTGAATGCATACAGTTTTTGCAGCACTGTAAAATTGAAAAATTATGAATTGAACCATTCAAAGTTCAGGACTGTCTATCTATACTTACACTAGAGGAATTTCTTCTCCCTGAACTAATTCCTATACTATTGCTCTTGATTCCATTTGTTCTTCCCTCTAGGTATAATCTTTCTCTTTTGTATTTTCTACTTTCTGTTTTCTATTTATTTTCTCTCTTCTAACTATACGTACATTCATGCATGCAGTATTCTCTCCTTATCCACGGGATATATTCTGCAAGGCCCCCAGTGGTTGCCTGAAATATCAGATAGTACTGAGCCAGATTGTATCAATTACAACACGTTTCTGTTCATGCCTTCTATCCCAAAATTTAAGGCCTTTTCCATCTTAACTAAGCACTTATCACTCACTGTGCCTGTAACTTTTACAGTTCAAATGAATTTCTTTTTCATTCTTGACAATTTCAAGAATATGAGATTTGTTTTTAACCATAGATCTTAGCAACTTCAGCAAACATTTTTTCCTTTCCTTATTTAGTCAAGAATTTTTACCTTTTCACTTAAAGGAATCACTTTTTGGCTACATTTGAGCATATCCAAATACTCAGCATGAATACTATTGTACTTTGTGCCATTATTAAATAAAATAAGGGTTTCTGGAACACAAGCACTGCAATAGTGTGACAGTTGATCTGATTCCCTAGACAACTCTTAAGTGACAAATGGACAGGAGTGTGTACAGCGTGAGTATACTGGCAAAGGGAGGATTCATGCCCCAAGGGAGCAGAATGGGATGGCAAGAGATTTCATCATGCTACTCAAAAACCACACACTTTAAAACTTACGAATCTTTACTCTGGAATTTTGCATTTAATATTTTCAGACTGAGGTTGACTGTGAGGTAACTGAAACCACAGAAAGCAAAACTGCCAACAAGGGGGGACAATGCTACGTGTGTGCAGATTATACATATACTCATAGTCTTGGCCATGTGAGAGAAAGAAACCACTATTACACATGCAAAAAACTCCCAACATATTCAGCTTCATACTTTCTTCTATTTTGTCCATTTTGATACTTTTGTTCAATTAATTGATTAAAATAGTGGTCTGTACTTCCTCATCTACTTCCTAATATTTCATTTGCATTTCAATCTAACTCAGTCTGGATTATGTCTTCCTCACTACAACATTGTCTTTGCCCTCTCCATTTTACCAATGAAGAAAGGAACTCTGAGAGGTTGTGTAACTTGCCCAGAGTCACATAGCTGCAAATAACCATGTCAAGTTTTAAACACATAAAAGTTTGTAGTTTTAAACCTAATAAAATTCCAAAGACTTTCCTCTTAAAACATAGTTTTAAAGCATGATAACGCTTATGCGTCAAGAAACCTTCAGCTCAAAGCCATCTGCAGGAAGCAATAGCAGTCATCATGGTACAAGGTGGGTCTAATTCAGGACTGAGAAACAGGAGCCAGCTTAAACTCTGGCCTGTAGTCCTCGTGAATATGGGAAAGTCCAATTCTGTGAATATGGAGAGTATTTGATGCCATCTTTATAATGTACCACTTGGCTAACTTGCCACTCACATTAGCTTTGAGATTAAAAAATGCTAGGGCATTAGAATATAAAGCTGGAAAGATTTAAGAATAAGAAATATTTTATCCAAAGGAAAAAAAAATGTCTGGATTGAAGGTCATGAAGAATTGTAAAATAAGTAGTGTTTTACAAGGCTTCCATGAAGGTAATCCTGTCATTTCAAATTAAATGAGAGGGAAAATGCTGTAAAGTTATTGTGAGAAATTATTGTATAAAGTTGGAACTAATTTTAAAAACAATAGATAACATTCATTGAATGCTCATGATGTACCAGGTTATGTGCTTGTGCATTACCTATGTTGTGTTTAGCCCTTATGACGAACCTATGAAGTAGATAACATGCCTAGGTGATTTTTATCTGTAAGTTCTATTTTAACAATAAATAAATCAAGGAACAGTACTTAAAAAGTCATTAGTACAAAGTACATTTAAAGTCAAAGTACATTTAAAAAGTCATTAGTAAATACTAAAATTAGTCAAGCATAACTATTCACAATAGCAAAAATAGAGTATCAAACTAGTGTTCATCAACAGGATCAGATAAAGAAAATGTGATATATATATAGGAAGTATCTCAAGAGATATATATATAGGAAAAATATATATCTTAAGATATATATATAGGAAGATATATATATATCTTAAGATATATATAGGAAGATATATATATATATCTTAAGATATATATATAGGAAGATATATATATATCTTAAGATATATATAGGAAGATATATATATATCTTAAGATATATATATAGGAAGATATATATATATCTTAAGATACATATATAGGAAGATATATATATATCTTAAGATATATATATAGGAAGATATATATATATCTTAAGATATATATATAGGAAGATATATATATATATCTTAAGATATATATATAGGAAGATATATATATATCTTAAGATATATATATAGGAAGATATATATATATCTATAGATAACATAGATAGATAGGTATAGGAATTCTATTCAGTCATGAAAAAGATGAAATTATATATTTTGCCACAACATGGATGGAACTGGAGACTGTTATCCTAAGTAAAATAACTCAAAACCAGAAGGTGAAATACCACATTCTCAAGTATAAGTTGGTGCTAAACAACAGGTACATGGGATCATACAGAGTGGAATAATAGACATTGGAGACTCCAAAAGGTGGGATGGTGAGAGGAAAATGAGGCTTGAGGAATTACCTACTGGGTACAATGTTCACTGTTCGAGTAATAGGTTCAAGTAACACTAAAGCCCAGACTTCATGACTATGTAATATAGGCATGTAAGAAATCTGTACTTTTAACTTCTACATGTATAAGAATTAAAACATTTTTAAAAATACAAAAATTGGCTAAAAATAAAAAGAGAAGTTATAAAAATATTTTTGTGGGATGTCAAATCTTCCATTGCTCATTGAAATTGTACTTTTCAGAAAAATTTACAGTGAGAGTTTATCAAATCAGAGTGAAAACTGATTTTTTATCTCATACATCAGATGTAATGATGTAATGTATTTTCCTTGTTTTGAGACTTAGAGGAAGTATGATTTTATTAAACTTTTTTGTTTCTAATTGAAGCTATTGAACCACTAATAAATGAGTGTCAGGCTATTTGGGGAGAGAGATAGTGTAATCATGTATACTATGCATCTGTATTATATATAAAAGTTAAGAGGGTAAGTACCTGAATTAAAACAACCAAAATTTTGAAATCCTTTATGAGAAACAAGCAATTTGACCCATTTAAGTAAAAAATAGAAACTTGTATTTTAGGTCACTGAAAGGAAAAATAGGTTTTATCAGACAATTTATAGTTTGCCATGGCAGTGACCAAGTAATTATATTAGGGTACAGAAGTAGACGTAATTTAACAGGAGTTCAGATGGGACTTTTGACAGTCTATCATAGAAAAAGTTAATGAACAAAATGCTAGACTTCAGTCTAAGTGCCAACTTAGCTACAAAACTGATTGTAGCCTAAAATATGTAGGATAGCAGTAAATTGTAGGAAATCCTCATGGAGAGGTGACAAATGGAGTCCTTCAGGACTGATTGCCAGGTGCATTACTTTTTTAACACACTGTATAACTTACGGTGTCTGAATTAGTTGATAACATTAAGGATCCAATTTTATCTTTTGGAGAAGAAATTGTTGGATAGAACAGTTCAGTTGCTCTGATTTTTTTTTAAATAGTGACTATTTAGATTAATTTTATGAAATTTCACATCTTTTAGGCTGGGCTGAGAGAGAGAGAAACTTTAAAGTTCATACCTATAAAACATATACTGATTCACTACTGCTGGCAATTGTGTATGAATATCTAATACATTCTTATTGGTTAATAAACATGTATTGAATACTATCTATGAGACCTTGTGTTATGAAAATAAATTTTAAAAATCTCTTAATTCTTCTCTCAACTATGGGAGGCATTTTAATGATAGAAAAATTTTAATACCTTTTTGTAAGGATGCACAAACTAAGGATTACAAGAGCTCAGAGGAGGGGAACCTATCTAGTCCAGAGTTCAGAGGAGTCTTCCTAATAGAAGTAATATTGGCCTAATCTTGATGTATACGTGAAAGGCATTAGAGAATAGAAGCAGTGAAACATGCGGAAGAGGTCACCGTATATGTAAAGGCATAGAGGTAAGGGAGAATATCACCCACTCAGAGTATTAAAAGTATATAATCGAGAATCTAGGGTGTGTAGTAAATTATTTGCAAAAATGCCCCAAGGGAGCAGAATGGGATGGCAAGAGATTTCATCATGCTACTCAAAAAGCACACACACTTTAAAACTGACGAATCTTTACTTCTGGAATTTTGCATTTACTATTTTCAGACTGAGGTTGACTGTGAGGTAACTGAAACCACGGAAAGCAAAACTGCCAACAAGAATGTAAGTATTCCCCACCCTAGATCCATGAAATTAATAATATGACTTTTTAGATGTTCCCATCAAGAGGTTGAGTCTATTTACCCCTTGAATCAAAAGTAATTTTTTAACTTACTCGGCCAACAGAATGTGGCAGAAGAAAGGTGCCGGTTCTGAACATAGACATAAAAGATCTTGATACTTCTCTTCACTCACCTGGAAACCTGCCCAGCCACTATGTGAACAAGCACGAGTTGAGCTACCCGACAATGAAAAACCATGTGGCGCAAAGGCCATTCCGGCTGAGGCCATCCCCAAACAACCTGCTACAAGCCAATCTGGCACCTGGTCATAGATGTATAAGTGAACCCAGTTGAGACCAGAAAAATTACCCATCTGAACCCATCCAAATCACCAAACTGAGCAATATAAATGATTGTTACATAAGTCACAAAGTTTGGGTTTATGTGTTATGCAGCAAAACAAACTGATACGGTAAAATATAGTGTTGAATGGAAGAGCAGGAAAAAGATTATGCTATGTCTTTTAGGCTTTATATTGAAGGCAATAAGGACTAATACTCCAAAATTTCAAGCTTTGGTTCTTTCTTTCAATATTGATAGTTTCAGAAAACTCTAAATGTATCCTGGAAGTATATTAAAATGCTACCATCTATAATAATATATTTACAGGTATCTGAAAGAAAAAACATTTAACTTATGTTTAATGGTCAAAATAGTTTTATATGTCTAATCTCCAGGATGGGTTCAGCTGTGTAGGAAAAATGTAATCCTAACTCATGTAAATACACCCAGGAAAGTGTATTCTGGGGAAGGAAGAATACTCCCCTTGAAATGGCATTCTGTAGTCATTCTTATAATTTATGAATGATATTGCAGCCAAGAATTCCTTCATCTGCCTTAGTTTTGTCAACCTATCTTTTTTTCTGCTTCTTTATTTTTATCTGCATGTTCCTAGTAATCTTATATTTAGTCAGAAAATTATAAGCTGTCATATAGAAGCTGTTTGGCTGAAGTATGATGATGTATGTCCTTTAAAGTGTATGCTGCAACTACTTTTGACTGAAGCATGTGACATAGTCACCAAGAATCTATGGGTATATAAGGTTGAACAGGTAACCCCCAATTTACAAAGCAAATATTCTGCCAGTCTTGCATTCTCACTCTTGGGGAAATGCTCTTCTTCTAATAGCATAATTGAATGTCGCATTGTTTGAAGGTAGAATCAAGGTGAGACTTGAGGAGAAGAAATGCTACTTTTTGTCTTTTGGGTTTTTTTTTCCCTCCAGGAATAGGGAGGACCACAAGACATTTGTCACATTCCACCATAGCCTACTTCCATATTTGAGAGGTATGTGGATGTCATGGTGGGTATGTAAGTATAAAGATGACATTGTGTCATATGCACATAAATAGTTATTGGTCTTGACCTTTGACATCAGTGTTTATGGTTAAATAATCAGCCTCTTTCCACTGGCCCTCTATCTCCTGCCCAGCGTGATAGATTTAAGATGGATCCAAGAGAAAATAAACCCCTGACTTCAAGGTACACATGGACAGGCAAGGCTAACTCACCTGAGGAAAAATTAGAGAACAGCACATTTCGAATGTTCTATTTTATTAAAAGTATAGTAAACTAAATTTAAACACAATGCTATCCAGTGTACCTGTTTTCGAATTTCAGCTTATTTCAGTTGACTGGTCAGTTATATTTCATACTTGTCCTCTTCTGTCTGCTGTAATTCCTTAGATGGCAATAATACTATTGTTGAGAAATTATTCCCCTTCAAAGATATTTTTCTTTACAAAAGGGGTGGCAGAAAACCATTAGAAGTCTGTTTTCCCCAGCAACCTTGTTTCATGTATAGATTCTGAATCTGTCTTCCATCTCCCCTCTGACAAAGAGCTGTACAAAGTTCATCAATGGCAAAGTCAATTGGGTTCTCGTTCTTTCTTAAAAATATCTCCTCTCCTCAGGGATTCCTCAAGTTCCTGTCAAGAGCCACCTAGGGCAGCAAGACATCTTTAGATGTTTTCTTTCTAAGGGCAGATAATGTGTATGTGACCAAAAGCTGGTGTTTACACAACAGGGGGCAGTGAGCAAAATTATCAAGTGGGTAAAATTAGTCTCAGTCTTCTTCACTTCCCCTTTCTGAAGCTTCATCCTTGCCCTCTGGGTGCCTGGCATGTGTTCCAGCTGTTCTGTCTCAGGGAAGGGTGCTCACCGAGGGGCCCATCCTGATCTGCCTGCTGTGCAAACACTTCCTGATCTTTCCCATTTCCTCTCCTCCCTTTCCAAGCTTGTCTCATAGTAAGCCCATTCTCTTTAGGTCTGTTTTCTATTAGAAAGTGAGAGATCAGCTTGTGTTAAGCTAGCAGCAAGTTTTCATGAGACCCGTTCCCTCTTTACCCACATATGACATAATACAATACACATCAACAGGGGCTCTTGGAGTACAGATATCTAACCTGAAAATAGGAGAACAATTTCAACCATGATGTGGGATAAATTGGTATCTTAAGCAGACAACAAACACTTTGGAAGGGTTCTCTTTGTTACAGTATAAATGTATTCTTTTCTTTTTCAGAGTTGTTGAGAATCAAGTACATTTGATTCTATTTAAAGAAAATGTGAAAATGCTGGAATCCCAGCTAATTGCCTCACCTCTTCTCTGTGCCTCTGCCATTGCCAGCAGTAAAACTTTGAACATATTTTCATTTAAACCTTTATCCTAGTGAAACAAAAACACATTATGTTTTTAAAAATCTATATTTTTGTGTGCTTTAAAGGAGAAAAAAATGTGTGTGTGTATGTGTGTGTGTATGAGTGTGTGCATGTATGAGTGTGGGTGAGTTTGTCTCTGTGTGTGTGTATGTTGCAGGACAGTTCTCTGGGTGGCCTTGGACTGACCCATTTCTCTCCCCTTTTTCATTTGCAGTTCTCAGGAAAAAATTGTAGCGTGTTTTGAGAATATAATATCCTGAGATAAGGAAGGGACTGGTTGGAACATGACAGGCTTTTTCTCTCTGCCCTAGAAATTTCAATACTTTTGCCCAGCATTTTATGTTGCCCCTGAGGTATATACCCTGGAGCAACCTGCCCTTCAGGGTCCCTCAGCTGTGGTGCAAGTGGGGCATGCACAGTGGAGACTCCATCTGCCCCAGGCAGCTTTCCTGAGCCTAAGAGAACTGACTCACAATGAGTCCTAGGCTTCTGCTGCCCTTTGCTGCCTATTTGTAAGTAATACATCTGCTTCCTGTAACTTCCTGTAACTTACATGCATAAGTGTTCTGTCTTACCAGCCTCAGACAAGTTGATAACCAGTGCATGGTGAATGGGCTTCACATATGTGTGTGTGTGTTATTGTGTTTACAAGTGGCTTATGTTAGCTTTCTATTATAGCATAACAAATGTGTCACACATTTGGGAGCTTGAAACAATATCCATTTAAAATTTCTGTAGGTCCAAAGTCCAGGCAGGGCTCAACTGGGTTCTTTGCTTAGCATCCCACAAGGTTGACATCAAGGTGTTGATCATGGCTGGGTTTTCATCTGAGGGTCAGAGTCCTCTTCTGAG
This sequence comes from Homo sapiens, assembly GCF_000001405.40. Taxonomy (NCBI): domain Eukaryota; kingdom Metazoa; phylum Chordata; class Mammalia; order Primates; family Hominidae; genus Homo; species Homo sapiens. The sequence continues at coordinate 106,628,243 of NC_000003.12, read as the reverse complement.
GCCATTCAGGTTGTTGACATAATTCATTTCCCTTTGATTGTAGGACCAAGATCCCAGTTTTCGTGCTTACTATTGACAAGGGTTGCTCTGAGTTTCTAGAATCTGCCTGCTATTCCCTGCTATATGGCTTTCTCCACAACATTGCCATTTGCTCCTTTTAAGGCTAGCAACAGAATGTCTCTGTTGCTTTGAATTGCTGGCTTCTCCTTTGTCTTATTTCTTGATCCTCATTTAAAAGGGCCTATCTGAGTAGGTTAGGCCCACGCACACTCAAAGGAGTAAGATTACGTAGGATGTGTATACCAGTGATGGAAATTTGGGAAGCTTTCTTAAAATTCTGCTTACCACAGAGCTTTTCTTGGTTTCCTTCGAAATAGTCAGCAAGGGAAGGGGAAATTAAGTGGCTAGACGTAATAAGAAGAGAAAATAGGGATCTAGTCTGAGGATCTAGTAGCACTTTGCCTTTTTCTGAAGATAGGCACTGTCCGATAGAGCTGTCTGCAATGATGCAAATGTTCTCCATCTTCTTTATCCAAGACAGTAACCATTAGGTGCATGCAGCTATTGGGAATTACAAATATGACAAAAAAACTAAAAACATGATTTTTAAATTTTTACAGCCATATGACTCTAGTGGCTACCATGTTAGAGAACATAGCTAGAGAGCAATATATAACCTCCAGCCCTTCTTCACCTTCCTCAGGTACAGAATCACTTCCCTCATGCCGAAATAGTGTGTTTGGTATTTATATCCTGCCTTTATTCTCCACCTGTGCCTGGGGTTTCAGTTTAAATCCCAGTTACTATCTTTCTATCTATCTTTAACTTCTGCCTTGAACTTTCTGCCAAGTTCACAGTTTTAGATATTGACCCATTTTCTATATAAATTCATAATTGAAGAAAGTTCTAATATTACCTAGTCCAATACCTCAATCAAAGTAGAAATCCTTTCTTATCACTGCCTTTGTCACACACATGAACACCAAAATAGTTATTGTTATCCTTCCTGAATAGGTGCTGTCTATGCAAGGTACTGAAGTGAGTGCTTCACTTTATATTCAATCTTCACAGCAACTCATGTTGCATTATTATTCCTATTTCACAGATGAAGAAACTTAGTCTTGGACAAGTTAAATAATTTCCTCAAATCTCACAATTATTTAATGCTAAAATAGAAATCAAATTCAAGTTCTTTGTCCACAATCACCCTTGATTTTACCTTTGAAATTCTATTACCTTTTCTAACAAATGCTCTTACAAAGTTCATTCAAGCTGTTTCTAGTATTACTAGTGGCGGTAAGCCCATAACTTTGAAGGACAATGCCTTCTGTTTACTGGCAGCTTTCAGAACACTTTGATTTTTCCATGTTTTTTCAGTCGTTCTTCATGAAACAAGTAGCTAAGTCACCCACTTATCTGGGTTTTCTCCCTTAGATTTGGTCCAGGGTTTAAATGTTGTTCCATAAACCAGGGGCTATAAAAATGATCCATGCTTTTATCTTGAAATCAAATATTTCTCTCAATAATTTTTACTCTCATTGTTCTCAATTTACCTCTTCAGTTGTACTAAACAAATGCTCTTAGACTGTAGGGTAGAGATTAACAGCCAAGATTTGGTATTAGGGCAGATGTAAGTTTAATTATCAGCTGTACATCTTATGAGTTGTGTGACCTTCCATTTCTCCATGCCCCTTTCTTATCTATCAAATGAGATAAAAGTATCTACCTCAAAAAACTGTTTCAAGGAGGAAATAAAAGTTTAGTGAAGCACCTGGCAGAAAGTCCAGCACATAGCAAGCACTCAGTAACAGGCAGCAGCTAATCTTATTATAGTCTTATAACTGGGGACAGCTTTTCATGTTCCTACGCCACCCAGATTTTTCCACTTTTGACACAAAATAATTCTTTCAGTGGTTCCTCTGGCAACAAATGGTTAAATCACTGACTTCCTTGGGTTTTCTTCTCTGGATTTGATCCAGGTTTTAAGCATTGTTCCACAAATGGTGGGCTCTAAAAATGAATTGTTTTATGAGCTTTTATAAATACCAAAGATTCATACCTTTGTGCCGTGTTTGAAGCTAAATCAGATGAATAAGGTTGTCCCTGCAGTCAGAGCAGTGAGAACTGCATAGGTTTTCATAGGAAAACATTTAAAAGATGCTGTTAGTGATAGAGAAGTAAAAATGAGATTCTGACATAATGCAACAATGTCGCTTCTACTGGGGAGGATTTGAGTATACACAAGCTTCCAGATCCAGTGCAACATGAAAAATGTGAGGCCACTTCTTCAAAAAGCAAAAAAAAAAATGAAAGGTATTACAATGTAAAGTGTTTTTTCTGCTGCTGCAGTTTCTTTCTTGACTTTCCAGAGGTTATATTTGCTATTTAATGTTTTTCTAAATTAAGAAAAATTAGCCTTTTAAATTTTAGCGTAGCGTTTATTGTTTATATTTGTAGTGTACAATGAAAGTTTTAAATGCGAAAGTAAGAACATTTAACTCATATCCAGAATAGCCAAAATTACACAATTCATATTTAGTAGCTTATATCACATATTTATTTTGTTCTTACTGGAACAGTGGAAATACCGCACAAAACTGACTCCAATGTTTTTAGCTCCTTGAAGTGTGCAGTGTCTATTAACATGCTTTACCTTTGTCTTGCTGAGTAAGAAAGGACTGAAAAAAAGGATCAATGAGCTCCCTGTCTTTCCTTTTCCTTCTATGGCATTATTTTCAGCTTTGGTGTTTGGTTAGTACAGGAATATCATAAATAAGAGAAATATAACAGGGTTCCTTGATCATTTCTGTTTCTTAGAATGCCATCGCCTTTTTCCTGTATTTGAACCAAGCCCTGTTCAAAAGGAAAGCATGGAATCTCTGGGTTGTTAGCATAATTACTCCATTGAAGAAGTAGCTCACTTACTTGTACTTGCTTTTATGGTGGTTCCACTGGAATTAGGCACTCTCAGGACACCATGAACACTATATGCATATATGGCAGCGGGGCACAATGTGTACATATTGTGCTTATCTTCTTTGCTCCATTGTTCTATGTGACTTGGCTTACAAAATACAATTCAAAGGTAAGATTATTAAGAATTTTAAGACAGCAACAGGACAGCATTAAGTCAAGTGTGAGGAGTTTCTGCACATGAGGCCTGCGTGACAATGTAGGTTATACATCCATGAAGCCAGCATGCATTGAGACAGATAGAAAATGAATTTTGGTAAATTTAAATTTTGATTTAATTTAATACTTATTTTAAAAAGTCTGAATATGCTGTAAAGAATTTACATTTACTCTTTACTCAGATTTATGAATTAACATTGTTTTCATTTGTTGCATAATTCTCTCCCTCTCCTGGTCTGGTTGTATTTTTCCCTTGAATTATATGAGAGTAAATGTCAGATAATGCCACTTTACCCTAAGTAATTCATTGTCTCCTTTTTAAGAAAAATAACATTCTTTCATACTTGCTATGGTTTGAATGTTTTTGTCCCCCCCAAAACTCATTTTGAAACTTAATCCTGAATGCAACAGTATTGAAAGGTCAGACCTAATGGGAAGTTTTTAGATTGTGAGGACTTTGCCCTCACGAATAGATTAATGCTGCTATAATAAAAGGCTTTTGGGAGTGAATTCACTCTCTTTCACTCTTTTGCCATGTAAGGACACAACATTTATTTCTTCTTTTCTTTGTACCTTCCTTCATGTAAAGACACAGAAAGAAGACCCTCTGCAGACACAAGACGTCAGTGCTATGATTTTGGACTTCCCAGCCTCCAGAAACATGAGTCAATAAATTTATGTTCATTATAAATTACCCAATATTTGGTATTTTGTTATAGCAGCACAAAATGAGCTATAAAGGAAATTGGTACCAGGAGTGGGGCATTGCTGACAAATACCTGAAAATGTGAAAGCAGTTTTAGAAGTTGGTAATGGGTAGAAGCTGAAAGAATTTGAAGCACCAGGCTTTAAAAGTCCTAATTTCTGTGAACTGAACATTAAGGGCAATGCTAGTGAGAGATGAAAAGAAGATAAAAGCTGTTTATAGTCATGAACAGAATGTTAGTAGAAATACAGAAAGTAAAGGCCATACTGAGGAAGTCTCAGAGGGAAATGTGGAATAAGATACTGGAAACTGGAGGAAAGGCAATGGCATTTCTAAATTTGTTAGAACAAGTTTTTCACTTGTTCTAAAGTGGCAAAGAACTTGGCTGAATTGTATCCGTGCCCTAGGGCTTTATGGAAGGCAGAATTTAAGAGCTATGAACTAGGATATCTGCCAGAAGCAATCTGTAAGCTGCAAAGCATTGAGGGAGTTTTGTCTCTTCTCTTTACTATATATAGTAAAATGCAAGAAGAGAGAAATGACTTAAAATTTACAATCAAAAGAGTAGAAGAATGAAGAGATTTGGAAAATCCCCAACCTGGCCATGTAAGAATAAATGACCTGTTTAGGAGAAAAAAAAAAAAAAAAAACAGGGGTGTGGCCAAAGGACTGTTTGATAAGAAGACTAGTGTAGATAGAAGGAAGCCAGGAGCCATTCATCAAGGAAATGGGGAGTGACCCTGCAGGCATTTCAGAGTGGCAAGTCTCCACTCTGATTACAGGCCCAGAATGCCAGGGCCTTGAGGGCAGAGAGATTTTGAGGGAGAGATCCTTGGTGCCCATGGGACCTCAGTGCTCACTGTCCAAAGCCACCTTAGGCCTCTTCTTCCCTCATTTTGATGCTGCACTTCTCAGCCACCCCAGCTGTGTTTCAAGCAGGCCCAAGTGTGTCTCCAGCCACTACTTTAGAGGTATAAGCCATAAACCTTAGTGGCATTCATGTGATGCTAGTTTTATAATCATGCAGGATACATGGCAATTGGAGACATGATTTTCTCCATCTAGATTTAATGAATGCTGTAGAGATTGGCCACGGGGGCAGAGTCACCCCAGAGAGTCCCTGACAGGGCAATGTTTAATGAATCCATGTGAATGGAGCCACCTTCAAGACCCCAGAACTGCAGAGCCACAAGGGTGCAATACCAGCCTGGGAGAGCTGCAGGCATGAGTCCAACCTGTGACAGTTGCTGTGTGGGCTGAGCCCAGAAAAGTCACAGGGGCTGGAACCATGAGTAGGGTACTGGTAATAATTGCTGTATCATTCTAACAGTAGTAGAAAACAGTAGTTTTCAGGGATTATTGAGGCCTTAGGGCCCAACTCCTTTCCCAGTGTTTGGATGGTGGAACATGGCGACAAAGATTATTTTCATACCTTAGAATTCAGTGTTCTTCACTCTGTTGTGTTATGAACTTGCTTGGGACCTGTTACTACTTTCTTTTTGCCTATTTCTACCTTTTAAAATAAATGCATTTTGCATGTTAGAAGGAAATAAATTTGATGGGTCAGAGGCAGAATGCTTTGGGTTGAATTGGTCCTTTGGAATTCATATGTTGAAAATTTAATCCCCAATGAGACCGTATTGGGAGGTAGAATCTAATGAGAGGTGTTTAGGTCTTGAGGACTCTGCTTTTATGAATAGATGAATACCATTATAGAAAGGGCGCATAGAACTGGGTTCACTGTCTTGCACCCTTGCTGATCTTCCTTCTTCCTTGTGAGGATCAGCAAGAGTGCAAGAGAGTGAACCCAGTCCTGTGTGGGTTCACTCTCTTGCACTCAAGAAGGCCCTCACCAGATGCTTGTGACTTGATCTTGGACTTCCCAGGCTCTAGAACTGTGAGCCAATAAATTTCTGTTGATTATAAATTACCCAGTCTTAGGTATTCTGTTATAGCAGCACCAAATAGAGCAAGACAATAATCACAGTACAATTATTAAAATCAGAAAATTTTACACACATAAAATATTTGTCTTACTTGTAATCTATAATCAAATTTGTTAATTATCTCAATAATGTTCTTTACAGTTATTTCTTCCAAGTCCAAGATCCAATCCAGTCTAAGGCGTTGCATTCAGGTGTCATGTCTCTTTAGTCAATTTTTTTTTGAGATGGAGTCTCACTCCATGGATGAAGAGCAGTGGCGCAATCTCGGTCTACCACAACCTCTGCCACCTGGGTTCAAGCGATTCTCCTGCCTCAGCCTCTGGAGTAGCTGGGATTACAGGCACCGGCCACCACGCCTGGCTAATTTTTTGTAGTTTTTAGTAGAGACGGGGCTTCACCATCTGACCAGGCTGGTCTTGGACTCATGACTTCATGATCCGCCCCCACAGCCTCCCAAAGTGCTGGGATTACAGGCATGAGCCACCATGCCTGGCCTCTTTAGTCCACTTTAATCTGGAACACTTCTTTAATTCCCCTTTGTCTTCATGACCGTGATTTTTTTGAGTAGTACAGGACAATTCTTTGGCAGAATATTCCTCAATTGAGGTTTGTGTGATGTTTCTTCATACAACATAGGCCTGAGTTAGGCTCAGACGATGCCTTTTAGACAGGAATCTTATGGAACTGATGTTTCCTCCTTCTCAGAGCAGGTTATCAGGAGCCATACGAGGTCTTCTTGACCCATTATATTAACTTAATAAATGGTTAAGGTGGTGTATTCAAGGTTTCTTTACTAAAATGTTACCTTATTTCCCTTGTGATTAATAATTTTCAGAGAGATACCTGGAGACTACATAAATATTCTATTACTCAAAACCTTCACATGCTAGTTTTATATTTCATGATGATCCTTGCTTAGATCAAAAATTACTACAGGGTGATAATTTTTCTATAGACATCCTCCTTTCTACACTTATTAGTTGGCATTCTATTGTGAGCATGCCATTTTCTTTCAACACCATTTATTCATTCAGCATAAACTGGTGAATCCTTTTTGTTGTTGTCATTTTATAGATTATATGCTTTTATTATTTATTTTATTTTATTGCTTATTTTTCTTATATTTGGCCATTGGAATCCTCCAAGCAGACTCCCATATCCTTTGGACATGCCCTTATCATGTTTTGAATACTATATTACTTTCTTAAATAAGAAGATTATTCAAGCTTATTTTGCATTTTCTCTTACCTGGCCAGAGAGTCAACAATTTCTCCAAGCAACCCTAAATTATTTTAATAAATTGTGATATTAGGAACTAAGGTCTAGTTTTATTGCTTATTGCTACTGGGATGTCATAAAATGCAATATGAAGGCAATGTCAATGCAATGCAATATGAATGCAATGACATAGAATTGCTACTGGGATGTCAAAGAATCTCACTTGGTGAGATCTAATAATCTGAGAATCACACTTCTGTAGAACCTTATTGACTGCTTTTAGGGATTGTCCCACTTAGACATATAAGTTGACCACCTTGGCTACAGTAACCTCACACCAATCACTAGCATCACTGTGGTCAATGATTAAATTGCCTACTCTACTTCTGATTAGCTAAATGTCCCTTCCTTCCTTCCTTCCTTCTTTCCTTCCTTCCTTCCTTCCTTCCTTCCTTCCTTCCTTCCTTCCTTCCTTCCTTCTCTTTCTTCTCTATCTCTCTCAACACTGAGAATTATGAGATATATACATATCTATCTCCATCCTCAGTAAAAAACCTTTTCTTCAAGAAGGACATTCCTTACAACCGCATACTTACAAAACCAATAATTTCTTTTTCTATGGCCTATGGATTTTCTTTTCTATTTCTTTTTTTAAAAGCATTTCCAAGGCCGGGCGTGGTGGCTCTTGCCTATAATCCCAGCACTTTGGGAGGCCGAGGCAGGTGGATCATGAGGTCAGGAATTCAAGACCAGCCTGGTCAAGATGGTGAAACCTCGTTTCTACTAAAAATACAAAAAATTAGCCGGGCGTGGTGGCAGGCCCCAACTACTCGGGAGGCTGAGGCAGAGAATTGCTGGAACCTGGGAGGAGGAGGTTGCAGTGATCCGAGATCACGTCACTGCACTCCAGCCTGGGTGACAGAACGAGACTCTGTCTCAAAAAAATTAAAAAAAAAAAGTATTTCCAACTATCAAAAAGCTTTTTGACATATCTAAGCCTTTAAATTGAAGATTTTATGGTGACATTGTCACACACTTTAAAATTCTTTTTTCCCCAACAAATTGTTTTAACATGAATTAGAGAACTTTTAATTTTATTTTTGTATGTATTAATGTCTAGAAATATCTTCTTCGAACTTATCTTTCCTTCCTTCTGCCATAAATAAAATAAAATAGAATAAAATAAAAAGTTGCTATTGAGTTTTTCTGTGCTCACAAATATATTTTAAGTTTGCATTAGCATTTCTCACCAAACAACACCATTGTACTATTAGGAAAACACATTTCAATTCAAAAAGTGTTGAAATTAATCAACTTTTCTCTTTTGTGCAAAAAGAGGCAAAGGTCCTAGAAATAATGCAGGTGTAGTTGTAATATTATAGATTATTTTATGTTAGTAAAGATATTTCATTTTGTTCTGTATCTTTGTACCATAACAATGTTGATTGGAACTGAAATGTTGCAAGAACAATTGTATAATTAGAAGATAATCATTTACTCTGGCAATATCTTGAAAGTGAGAGTTTTAAAGAACAATTATAATTTCTATGTGTTTGATTGAAATGTGTTTATCCTGATTAACAATTTACAAACATTTCTTCCTGTAAACCTCTGAGATCTCAAAAACAGTTTAGCTTCCACAGGCTACTGTAGGTAATGTATATTTTTAGTTCTAAAATAATCAAAGTTTTAAAATGAACTTAATAACTTATTCCATTTATTTCCCCTGTGGCAGGAGAATTGCTTTTTAATAAAGCATTCCAATTTATCTATAGTTCTACAGATAAATGCTGAAAGTCAACATAATCAAATTGGAAGGTCAAAGTTTCAAATATGACAAGTTGAACAATCTTCATTTGTAAATTTAAGAAAAAATTTTCAAATAAATGTCATTAATATAGAAGAAAGAGGTCCACATTTGCTCTTTAGAAAAATATTTACAGAGTTCATAGTACCTAGTTGCCTGCTATGGAGAGCATCTGCATCACAGGATAATTTGATAATCCGATCTGCACAAAAGAAATTGACCTTTTTAGAGGGAAGTCGTGATGTAAAATGGGTTCTTCGAAAGAGAAGTTGAAATCAACTTGTGCTTTGCAGTGGTGACAGTATTTCCAGAATTTGAGTTCTTTACTTGATGATTTTAATGGAACCTATTTTAACTGAGGTACTCATAAGGCTAACTTATAATTTCACTAGGACTTATTATCTGTGAAGTGCTTTCACACCCACCAACAAAATATTATACGGTAACAAGTTGTTTTCCCATTTTAGACATTAAAAATGTAAGGTTAAAGACATTGCTTAAAACCTTAAAAACACTTACAAAAATAAGAAAATACATGCCCATTTTTAAATTTCTTTTTTTCTATTTATATTTTCTGGGCCTCAAATGCAGAACTTTATTTATCACATTCTCGTGCACTTTTACCAACAGAGTAAACTAGCTAACTCTTTCCCTAATCTCTCTTCATTAAATATTATGAATTGTTTTTAATTGATGCAGAGGCTAAATGACATATCTGCAGATCTCCAATATAAAGCTCTATCTGAACAGATGTGAGCCTGGGTTGATAACAAAAAGTAGGAGTTAGTTTATAAGTACAGTCCCCAATACCTGCGGTTTGCATTTAGCACTTTTAGTTACCTGTGGTCAAATTGTTCAAAAACATTAAATTAAAAGTTCCAGAAATAAAAATTCATAAGTTTTAAATTGCAAGCCATTCTGAATAGCTTGATGAAATCTTGCGCCATCTGGCTTGGTTCTACCCAGGATGTGGATCAGCCCTTTGTCCAGAGCATGCAAGTCACGTATGCGACACCCTGCCCCTTAGTCACTTAGTAGCTATCCTCGTTATCAGCTCACTTAGTAACTATGTTGGTTAACCTATCAATTGTTGCAGTATAGCAATGCTTGTGTTTAAGTAGGCCTTATTTTACTTAGTAATGGCTCCAAAGCTCAAGAGTAGCGATGCAGGAATATTGTTCTAATTGTTCCATTTTATTATTAGTTATTACTGTTAATCTCTTGCTGTACCTAATTTATAGATTGAACTTTATCATGGATATGTATGGATAGGGAAAAAATAGCATATATAGGGTTCAGTAGTGTCTGTAGTTTTAGGCACCCCTTTCCAAGGCTGTGAGTCTTGGAACATATTCCTTATGGATAAGGAGGGACCACTGCAACGCCTTTCATAAGCATGTTTTAGGAGCAGTAATGCAAGATTGGTGTCAAAGGAAATTCCCCCCCTTTTTAGCTTATTTCCATAATATACATCAGGGCATCGTGTATTTGTTTTTTTGCACATATGCATTTTGACTATTACATCTATGTTTTTGAATAGAAATTTGAGTTAGTTTCTTTTTTTCTCATCCCCAAATGCCCTGTGAATCAGGTCAGATGCCTGTTAATCAAATCACGCACAATATTTTATGTTACTCCCCACTGGCTATTGAGAAGTAACTTTAAAAATCTTCTTCCCAACATTGTTCTAATAGAACTAGGATTGCTAAATGTGACAAAATTATAGGATATTCTAAAATTGAGTTTCATCCTAGTTAAATTTGGACATCCTAGTTAAATTTGAATTTCAGATAGATGACAAATAATTATTCGTATTACTATGTCCCTAACATTGCATGGAACATAATTATTGTAAAATAATGATTCATTGTTGATCTGAAATTTAAGTTTACTGGAATGTCCTGTATTTTCTCTGGCAAGCCTCGTTAGAACCAATGAGAAATTAAAATGATTTTGTCATTGAGTCATGTGGTGAGCAACAACAAAAAGTAAGCAAAGACACTGAGACAGAAATAAATTGTTTCTAAATCTGATTTAAAATACTTTGAGTAAGGGAATTTTTTTTTCCCTACATAGCTGAAAGTTGGAATAAGAAGACAGGCCCACTCCAGGAGCAGTATGATCAACAATTCAATAATGGTCTGAAGGATCTGATTCTTTCTGTTTCTGGGTCCAGCCACCCTCAGGTTTCCTGTCCTGTATGCAGGTTGCTGCAGCAGTTCTTGGGTCACATCAAGAAGCAGCAGTGTCCAAAGGCAGAAAAGAAATCCCTTCTTTCAGTGTGTTTTTTTAAGAACTAGAAAACCTTTCCTAGAAGCCTTATGAAGACCCGTCTTAATGATTACACATCCCCTCCCTCCTCTCCCCCAAATCTGTCATATTCACGGGTAACTATCTAGATCATGACTGTCACCTAATCATGATACTCCTGCTAAGGTAGTTACGAGGTCAGTTCCTCATGAGGTACATGGAGGAAAAGCATATTTGAAACAATTAGGTTATATTAGAAAGGAAGAAGACTGTAAGAAGATAGACAACCAATATGTTCTCTTAGTTTCCTGTGGTATGCAAAATTCATACTCTCATTTACATAGGGGAACCCTCCAGCTTCCTAGAAAATTAATCTGACAACACATAGACCAGCCAGTCTTTTAAAGAAACTTCAAATATTTTCCATTCCGTTGGAGTATCTCCAGGAGGTCCTGACGAGGGAAGATGATACTAAAGAATTGAGCTTACTACTGAGTGACAGTTGTACAAAAAGGATACGGTTTTAGTGAAGGGGGGAGAAAAAGAGACTAAAACTCTCCTCCTGTTAGAAGTCTAAGAGATCTTTCAGGTTCCTCTAGAGTGGACCTGAGCTTATTTTTTCTGATCTTATTCCAAAGACAAACACAGAGCTACAAGGAATTCAGTGAATCTCAAGACCACCAGGAAAACAATGAGTTACCTCTAGGGAGGTTTTAGTTCTTGTTTACTGAGAATATGCACTTTGTGGTTTAAAAAGCAACGACAAAGAGATGTTATGTCATTAATAGTTACTCTTAATCATAATAAGACTGTAAATTAAAATATGACAGGGTAGACTGAGGACATTATGTACTTGTACAGTAGAAATTCCTAATTTATATCACCTGAATGACTGTATTTAGGATTTGGAATAATAGGGGTAACTTCAATGAGTTTGATATATGAATGAGTTGTTCTTGCATTTTTCTTTAGCTGTATGTTGAAATTCCTCACATTACAAGTGTGCAGGACTCCCAGAAAAAGAATGCTGTACAAAACATGGGCCGTGTTAGTGGCCCTGTGGTACTAATGCAAATAAGTGATTAAAAGCAATTGAACACATACTCATCTTCCATCCAGCACTGCACACATATGCACACTTTTGAGAATTCTTATCTGACTATCAAAACATTAGCCCTTATTGTTGAGAATACATCCACTTATGAACAGTGATAATAAAGTTTCTGGTTCTGATCCCTGATAATAAATTCCTACAGTTGCCATTAGGGGTAGGGGCCCTGTCTCTATCATCTCAGGTGAGAGTGAAATACTTTTCTGGGAAATAATAGAAAACAAGGAGCCTCATAGGTTACAAATAACAGCTGTAACCTTGGAAATTGTATCAAGTTATAAAAGTAGGGAACTGAGTGATAGGAATTGTTCAATGATAAGTAATAAGAAAATCACATTCTAGAAGAGTTTTAGAAAAGAGCACAACTCTCAGGCTATGTCATACACAATCCAAGGAAGATGCAATCAGCTTTGGCAAAGGGAGTACTGAAAAACCATGACAGATTGATCATAATGCTCTTGAAGACCTATTAACTCGATTTTTCTTCAAGTCAATATTAACAACAGATTATGTATATTGATTGTTTTAAGAAAGCTTTTCTTTCCAGTATGATCTATCAGGAATGCCTGTCAGTTACATTTCTTGGTAAAAATTAATAGATTTGCTTGGCTTTTATTGAACTCAGGTAGTATTGTAGCCATCAGGGACATAAACACTAAAAATATAGGAATACAAGCATAGAAATGTGAAATGGTAGTATATGGTCATGACTATTCTATAAGAATAATTCTTCCACTTATGGAGCTTATATTTTTATAAAAATTAAATGATTAGATATCAATAATCGCCCTAATGGAGTTTCCATTAGGGTGATTATTGATAGATAGATAGATTGATATTTAAGAAGACCTTTATAAATATTTATAAATATATGTATACTTATATATGACTATATTTGGGATTTGAAATTAGGGGCAACTACATATTAGTTCTTCTACATACAGTTCTTGTTAAATATATATAAAGTATCATCACCAAGGTGTTATTATAGACAGGCTAGAAGTATGTGGGGCTTTCTAAGAAGACTTTTTTTTTTGAGATGGAGTCTCGCTCTGTCTCCCAGGCTGGAGTGCAGTGGCGCAATCTTGGCTCACTGCAATCTCCACCTCCCGGGTTCATGCCATTCTCCTGCCTCAGCCTCCTGAGTAGTTGGGACTACAGGCACCCACCACCACGCCTGGCTAATTTTTTTGTATTTTTAGTAGAGACAGGGTTTCACCATGTTAGCCAGGATGGTCTCTATCTCCTGACCTCGTGATCCACCTGTCTTGGTCTTTCAAAGTGCTGGGATTACAGGCATGAACCACCGCACCCAGCCTAAGAAGCCTTTTTAAAAGATGTAAAATTTGAGATGGCTATGAGAGGGTGGGATGTTCAGTTAGAGAAGATAACAGAAGGAGAAATGTGAGAAGCATGAAGATATGAAATAAAGTGTACTGGACTGTAAGTAATACAATATGGCTGGGTATAAGGTATGGAGTTGTTGAGTAAAGATAAAAGGCTTTTCTATATTCTATTTGAATAGGAATGAGGGCCAGGCCCAGTGGCTCATGCCTGTAATCCCAGCATTTTGGGAGGCTGAGGCGGGAAGATCATTTGAGGTCAGGAGTTCAAGACCAGCCTGACCAACATGGTGAAACCCTGTCTTTACTAAAAATACAAAAAATTAGCCAGGCGTGGTGGGGCATGCTTGTAGTCCCAGCTACTTGGGAGGCTGAGGCAGGAGAATCACTTGAATCCAGGAGGCGGAGGTTGCAGTGAGCCAAGATCACACCACCGCATTCCAGCCTGGGTGACAGAACGAGACTGTCTCAAAAAAACAAAACAAAACAAAAAAAAAAAGGAAATGAGATCATAAACTAAGTCAACTAATGAATGGAAACTAGAAACTGAAATGAGATTTCAATGAACAACTCTTGGTGATAGGGTTTGGCCATGTGTCTCCACCCAAGTCTTATGTTGAATTGTAATCCCCAATGTTGGGAGAGGGACCTGTGGGGAGGTGATTGGATCATGGGAGCAGATTTCCGCCTTGCTTTTTTTGTGATAGTGAGTGAGATCTAGCAGTTTAAAAGTGTGTAGCACTTCCGTCTTCACTCTCCTGCTGGCCATGTGAAGATGTACTTGCTTCCCTTTCTGCCTTCCACCATGGTTGTAAGTTTCCTGAGGCCTCCCCAGCCATGCTTCCTGTACAGTTTGCAGATCTCTGAGCCAAATTAACCTCTTTTCTTTATAAATTACCCAGTCTCAGGTAGTTCTTTATAGCAATGTGAGAGTGGACTAATATACTTGGTCACCAAGTAAATATGAAAAGTGAGAAAAATGGTAGTTTTTTGGGTTATTTACTAAATATTTCCCATTTTCCTTCCAGGCAGATAGTTTTTTCCTTTTGGGTTATTTACTAAATATTTCCCATTTTCCTTCCAGACAGTTTTTGCACTGTCTCATCCTCCTGAAGTGAGGTGTGACACTTTGACTTTCTTCGGTTAATAAATATGAGTGGAAGTGACATATGCTTCTAGGTGTCCTTTTGTTAAGCAATTTGATATGGTCTCTTTCCTGTGGCTCTGGTAATCATGTGAATGTGTATTGAGATAGATAGTTGATTCCCAAACAACTATGATGAGCAGAGATCTCTGAAAAACCCACGTTGACCACATTGTATGACGAAGAAATCAAGTTTTGGTGTGTTAAGCCATTGATATCTGGCAATTGTTATTTGTCAAGGAACAAGTTACTCTGACCAATAAACATGCTGTCCAAAATTTCAAAATACAAAATTAATTTACCAATACCTGTTTGGCCTGGGTAAACTCACAAATTTTTATTTAAACCCCAATCTCATGCTTAGATTTAGAATTTGAACATATCATGACATCAACATATCAATTCTTGCAGGTTAGCTGTTTTTTAGGGTTTTATTAGATTATCTTCTTAGAAGATGAAAGCCATTTTTTCAGTTATAAAGCAAGATATATCAGTGACAGTCACTGGCAAGAGAATATTTGAATAACATGGTAATAATTAGTATATCAGACAGATCTTTAAGGGCCAATGGGATCATATCTGAAAATCACATCTTATTGGAGTCTGCAACACCAAACAAAGGAGATACATTTCTAGGAAAGGACAGGAAAATGCTCTATTCTGATTGGAAAATGATAGTCATTGAGGTATACACAGTCAGCAGAGAGTTGCATCTATGGAATGAAATTATATTTGTGTCTGGAGGGCAGGGGACAGTGAAAATAATGATAGCTTTTGAGGAGCATGTTTTGTAGTTAACTTGTTCCTACATGAATTGTCCCTTATTCATCTTGTTCCCTTCTTGTCCAGAGTTTTGTGGACCTCGTGGCGAATCTTTGAGAGCAGGGACTTTGTCTAGGGTTGGCAGACTGTAAACTCAGGCTTTTCAGAAAGTGGCTTCCCTAAGAGCAGTCTCCTCCCTGAACTCCAGGAAATCCCATAAGCTGGGGAAAGCTTCTGCAGGGTACCAATGGCCACATTTATCAGGACCAATTTTTGTTTATTAGTGTTACTATCACATTGAGTCTTCCTTGTTTGATTGCAGGCACACCCCCATTCTACACCCCCATTCTTTTAGAATATTATTGTTGAATTTTTTTAAATTAATTTGGAAAGAATAAGAGAAATTAATGGGAAAGAAAAGACAGTTTAGTTACTAGTTGAATTTAACCTCTGAGTAACCCTCTTGAGATTCAGCCATAGAGTAAGAAATAAATTTTTATTGTTTATACACATATAAATGTATATTTAAAAAATATATGTTTTATTAAGCAATGTTTATCTTTACTGAATATTATAACTCTAGTATCATACATACACACAGAGTCATAGGGATCTTCATTTCAGTTGTCTTATTGTTTTGGAGGAAAGAAGGGAAAGAAATGACAACCTACCTCTTGAGCAACCACTAAGTGCTCTTAAGTTAACTAAATCTGCTTGGCACTACTAATGTTCTGGAGCCACATGCTTACTTCTTCTAAAATAACCTTTTGCAGGGTAGTAGAACCTTCTGTCATTTGCTTATCTTAGGATGTGGAAACTCTGGCAAGATGACAGTTTTATTGTTGCTGTTATTGTTACTATCAACAGTAAAATAAAAAAAAAATTCTGTGCCCACAATAAGACTTAGTGCTACACAGTTAATGTAAAATGTTAAAAAGAAATTCCAGAGCCTTGAGATTTGTTAGACATGCCCAGTATGATATCTGGGTACCTTATTTCCCTATTATATCCCAGAAACCTTTTTAGCCTAAGACTTATATCCTAAGACTTGTTTATCAAACTTTGGGTCAAGAAACAATAACAACACATAACAATTTTTAGTGGGTCATGCTCACAGGTTTTTTAGGAAATATATAAGAACAGTATAGGATGCATTACACACTATAAGGTAATTACACAAGGACATTTTTGCTTAATTTTATATATACACACACAATCACAATGTAAAATGTGTTATTGTAGTAAAAATAATTAAGTAAAAAATAGTTTACATTTTAATGGTACTTCTTATATGCAACACATTGTTCTAAGTGGCTGTGTTAAGTCATTTAATTCTCACAACTTTTCAATGATTTTTCTCATTTTAGTCCCTGAAACACAGCAAAGTTGAGTGATGTACCTGACTTTACAGAACTATTCAAAGCTAAGCAGTTCGCTGCTTATGCTGCTGTCATAACCTATAAGCTATCTATACTATTCTCTAAGGACACTGAAAATACTGGCATAGAGGACCACAGACATAGAGCAGGAAGAAAAATTTCTGTGGAAAAAATGAACATGTAGAATGAATCATTTGGACAAGGACAGGGTATTCCAATGAGGTAAAACATGTAAAGAGAAAAGGGTGATGGAAAATGAAACAAATAGCAGATAGAAACTCCAGTGCAGACAGAATGGTTTATATTAAAAATGTAAATGAGGACTATTTATTTAATTCAGCTGTTAAAACTCTGTCCATTCTAGACAGTCATGTTGCATCCTCAAGCATTTACAAAGCACCTTTGAACACAACGATTCTTGCTGCCATCTGACTTGGAATTTAGATCCTGGAATTTACACTTCTCATCCTCCTTGTTAACACTTTCATAATTGCCTAAACTTCAGGTTAGAAAATATTTTCAGAAAATCACTCTACATTTGTCAGTTCAATTTCCCCTTCAACCTTTATTTACACCATTTAAAACAACTTCTCTATGCTTCATATATTTGCTCACGATTATTATCTTCTCTCTGGCCAAACTAAACAAATTTAAATGTTTTCATATGAGTTTATGAGTCATCCTCCTCCTGACATTTATTCATTCTTATTGCTGTCCTTGGAACACAACACCTCAAGGACTATTGCTTCCTCTGCAGCAGTCCAGGTGTGATTGGCTGTCACAGAATCTGCAGAGCCCCTTGAGACGCAGTCCCTGGGTGGGTGCTGGAGAGGGTGGGTGCCTATGTATGACTGGTAGGAAGCAGCAACATACCATGCTTCAGGTCTCTAGGAACCTCTAGGAAGAGGTATCACCTTTAAAAAGAGTCCATCTCCATCCTTTAGCTATATCCCTTGAGATCAAGAATTACCACCTTCTATATTCAGAGTGATTTTCAACAGATGGTTTTGCCTGTGGAATCCCTTGAAAATGTCTTATTTATTTTCCCTCCAGGACAAGAAGGATAACTTGTCTCCTCTTCTGTAGATTTTTAGAGATTGAATTAATTATCCTATTGGTAAAAACAGGTCACATTCACATCTACTTAGAGGCAAATTTAAAACACACACACATATATACACACACACATGCCCAGATATAAAGAGTAGATCTATATCAACTTTGTGGCATTACACTTTAAATATAGAAATGAACTTGCTGAAATTGTTTCTATTTTTTAAAAAATAATATTTCTATTCTCACTCCCTTCAAGAATATAATTGCATTTCATTGTACTTTTAGAGATAACTATGGAATAAATATCGCCTGAACTGAAAAATGCAGCATTTCTGTTTCCAAAGAATTTATGAGAAAAGCTGAAACTCTTTGGATACCAAGACATAATGAAAACAAACCACATTTCTTCTAACAAAAGACTCCAGCAGCTGCATGAGCAAGGCTACTGCAGCTGACTGTGATTTCCAAGAGGCTGTTTATTCCAGACACTAGGGGGCACTGGTGATTTGCTCAACTCCTCTCAGTTCTTGGGCTTTAAAAAATTCAGTGTGTTACCAGCAACTTGTCAACTTTCAATGGGCAGGAATGGAGTGGAAAATAACTATTCAAAAGTTCATATTTTCAGAGAGAGGTTAAAAATATTCTCTGCAGAACCCACCAGAAGAAAGAGGAGAAGTGACTCGTCTTTGTCCTGTCCTGGTTATCAGTCCTCATCCAGAAGTTGTAGTGGGTTCAAATTTCATAACTTGTTAAAACTAATGCCAGAAATGAAGTTTGTAAAACAGCAGATAGCTCATTCAAACCCTACATTTGAACACACTCTTTTCCTTTTCATGCTTATTTTTGCCGAAACCGGTGACAACATCGGTTTCTAACTATTGAAAAGACATTCTGATTCACAAGCACTGATTTAAATAGAGTATGTTCATTTGGACGTAATGAGGGGAGACAAACAGGATTAAACAAAACAAGGACAATGAGAATATAAGCTACCTTCATAAATCGAATTTAAAATAGTCGAGCAAAAACCCTGCTTATCTGTATAATCCATGTTCCAGTTGCTTTGAGGCAGGATGGAAGAATAACAAGCAAAGGTAAAAGCAACCAAAAAAAAAAATTTAAAGAGATACCAATATTTGATATGAAGCATTCAAGTAAAAGAAGCTATCCATTAAAAGCATTGACAACGAATCAGTTATGTGTGACCAAGATACTCAGAGCAATAATAACCAGAGGCTCTTGTACAATATGCTTGGTCCATAATTATTGTTTCCATTATTGGTGAGTTTTTTGTTTGTTTGTTTTTATTTTTGTTTTTGAGATGGAGTCTCACTCTTATCCAGGCTGGAGTGCAGTAGCATGATCTGGGCTCACTGCAATCTCTGCCTCCCGGGTTCAGTCGATTCTCTTGCCTCAGCCTCCCAAGTGGCTGGAATTACAGGCACACACCACCACACCCGGCAAATTTTTTTTTTTTTTTTTTTGTATTTTTAGTAGACTGTGTTTTGCCTTGTTGGCCAGGCTGATCTCGAACTCCTGACCTCAAGTGATCCACCTGCCTTGGACTCCCCAAGTGTTGAGGTTACAGGTGTGAGCCACCATGCCCAGCCTATTGGTGGTTTTAAAAAATCTATTCCATATTTCCTCAAAGCATATAGCTAAAGAATTTAGGGAGGGAAGCGTATGTCCCTTTCAGAATCTCCTCTTACTCAACTATGACAGTCATTACTATCTGCATGGAGACACGCTTGAGAAGGAGGCCATTGCATGTTCTCAAGATAACTAGGAAAGAATAGCCTAATAGTGGCCAAAGTCAGTTTCTTCCTGCTTCATGTGACTCTCTGAAAAACTAGGCCCATCGCAGCCCTAAAAGTCTGACTCCCACCTCTTTCTCTCATGTGTCACAGGTAAAAGTAAGTCATGTACAACACGACAGTCTTGTTGCATACAATACATTGTGTGCCTTGGAGGTACGTGATGCTAAAGTTTGTTACATAGGGTCACATTAGGAAGAGTATTTGTCCCGTATAATAACCAACTCAGTTCCAAGTCTAGGTTTAATCTCCTCCTGACTCAGGTGTCACCTTCTTGCTTTCAAATAAATTAGTTTCTTCTAATCCCAGTGAGCTTCTGTTGACCTGAAGACTTATTTCTTTTGCTAACTGGTTTCAGCTTCCCATCCAGATGACTAGATTGTTTGCTGACTTCAAGAGTCCTTTGGTGTCAGCTTGAGGAGATAATAGTTGTTTACCAAAAATGATCTTTAGAGTAGTTTAACTACCCAGAGGCTCTCACAGTTTGGAAGGAGGGTGGAGCAATTTACACTACATGATTTTATTAGCAGGAAAATTTGCCTTTCTTTTTCACTGCAAACAAGTTATTCTCTGAAGGGTAGCTTGATATAGAGTACAACATTATTAAAATGCATAGGAAATTAAATCTGAAATATATAATGGTTTTGTTTGTAGAACACTTCTTTTAAGTAGGTTTAGGTTTTAAAATGTACATGCACATACATGTCATTGAAACCTTGGAAAGAATGTTATTTAGGGTGCAAAGATCAAAGTAGATATGGAGGTAGTAAGATGATTATGTTTTCAATTTATAAGGTTTTACATTTCTTTTACAGAAAGTGTTTATTCTTGTATAAAATGAAAATCCTCATAACTGTTTTGCAAGTCTCTGCATATTCGTTACATTTTTATGCCAAAGACATATCTCTCTCTCTCTCTCTCTCTCTCTATATATATATATATACACACACACACACATATATAAATGTTTATGACAAGAGCCTATTTGTAATTTATTTTCTTTATAACAAATAAATTTTGAGCTATTTGTGTTTGTAAAATATCTTGAGCTTAATATGTCATAATAAAAAGCAGAATAGGACATATATATATGTCCTCTTCTTCCTATTAGAAGCTGACTTCTTCCTTAAAATTCTCTCTCCTAAAACAATAACTTTATTTTAACCGTATATGTTTTGTATCTGTGTATAGCTAGTATAGCTATTACATATATATATATATATATGCACACACATATGTTTTAAAGTTTACATTGTATAGTTTAAAGAACTTTCCTCTCCCTTTAAAGACTTCTTCACCGTTTTGCTTAAATGCAAAATTCTTTACAAAGAGGATTTTTTTTTTGGGGGGGGAATAACTAGGAATGGGGGTCAATTTGACTTTAAATTATTCTGTTTATTATGAGAGATGTTTAAGGCACATTAAGGACATGACTCCACCTTTGGTGAAGGTTGCTCCAGTGGAAAAAAAATTGACAGAAAGGTCCACATCCCTGAACAACTATTTGAAAGACTGCTATCCAGAAGAGCAACCCAACCCCATCTTGGACTGTAATGAGAGGTGGAAGTAAATGTTTGCCTTAAGTCACTGTAAGTTACTGCAATTTTAGGGTTGTTACAACACTAATTACTTTGAATATTTCATAGACTCTGTACAGAATTTATTAACACAGTTTTAAACAAAAACAATCCCAAGATGTAATCTATAGAAAAAGGGTTCCACGTCCAAGTAAGTCGAAAAAAAAACTAGGTACCGCCTATTTTTCTTAAAGAGTCAGAACGCACACTGCTAAATTTAGAGCTCTGAAAATTTCCATAGTAAAAAACCATGTTTAACTCAATACTTGTCAAATGTATATAATCACCCAAACAGATCATATGACTCATATTAAGCTGATACATAATGATATCATTTATATTGGTTGTTCAAAATATTGAAATTCTTTTATTCTGGTTGGTAAATAAACATTGACCAAACCCTTCAAATAGCCCTGCCTCCACTGGCCTAGCCCTACAGTAACTTAAGTGAATACTTTTAGTGAGCTGTTCTGGTACCCTCTGGTCAATGAGCTAGCCAAAGAACCTACCATACATGACTCCTGTGAAATGACCACCATCACTAGAAGTAATTCCTCTGTCTAGAGCAGACCTCAACTCTGAAAAGGGAAACAGGCAAATGATTAACGTCCTGTTGGCACCCTGAGGTTTGGTGTCCTCCTATAGGTAGTTATTTCCCCAGGGGATATCCTCACATGGTCTTTTGTTACATGTGGCCACTTGTTGAAAATTGTATCCTCCAAAATATTTCCTACTAGTGGTTAAATATTTTTAATTCCACTACATCACAGAACCATCAGCATTGAAATCAATTTCTGTTGCAAGGAAGACACTTTAAATCCTGACTGACTTCCTCGCAACCTGACTGACTTCCTTGCAACATATAGTCAAAAAAAAAAAACCAAAACTATTTACTTTCATTGTTCAGATGAATTTGAATTGTTTTGTATTAAGATCATCTTTATTGTGTGCGGAATTTTTAGTCTCTGACACAGGATTCATGAAAATTGATATTTAACAATTGAAATTGCAGAGATCTCACTCTGCAATTTCATACCACACTCCTCTTCCTCATTCATTCATTTATTCATTCATTCACATCATCAACAAAGATTCAATGAATGCTTACCACATGCATAAACTAGTTAGTGCCAAGGATGATAAAAAATATCAACCATAGTTTATGTCCTCAAAGTCAACATGTTCACGTACAATTGCCAGAGTCACACGGACTACTCGTTGCTCTGAGAATTACGGAATGTATGAGGCCCAAAACCACTTTTACAAAAGACATAAACTCTGATGACAATGTATTCCTCTTTTTTGTATATATAGCCATTATTTTAACCACTTCGATTCTTCTACTTATGAAGAATTGAATAACAGAAGACTTTATAAATTATTTTATCTACATCATTTAAAAAAGGTTGTCCATCTTCATACTTTCTCTAACAAAAACATATATATTTTGAAAGTATTCAATTAAATAAGTTATTTGCTTATTATGATGTGATAGACATTGTGATTTATTGTTGTATGGTAAGCACTCTTATAAAGGTACTTATGAAGGTACAACTGAACTTTGTTAGAAATTGGTGAATTGTTTAACAGTGGTAAATTATGCATTGCAATTGTTTGAAAGTGACAAATTAACCAAAGAGGTTAATAGTTTTCAAACAACTATTATAACATATAAAACGTTTCCAATAAGTACATTATTAAGGCTTAAAGTGAAAGGGACTATAATTTATAGAGGCATAGTGAGCCTTAAGCTAATCTTTAAAAAAGGTATATCTTCTCTCTTCTACCATGCAATACTATTTTTTTTTAAAGATAGAGACAGAGGAGTGATGTCAGCAAGATAACCAACTATGTTTGACTGGAGTGACTGGGGAAATATACTAAAGAGTGCCAGGGGAGTGGCAAAATTCCTGCGGAGCACAAAATCTCAGAATAAAACAATAGAAGGGGAGCAAGGTATCCTGCCTCTGACAAACTGTCTCTCCAACGAAATCAGTTTGGAGTCAGAGAGCCTTCTTACAAAGAAGGAATAAGCTGGAGATCCCCAATGGCTCTCACTGCTGCCATAAATGCCAGAAATTCTTGCTACAGGAGAGGCCCCAAATCCTAGTAGATTGTGAATCCAGCTTAGAGAGTAGCTGGGAGTACAGGTAGCTGCGTCATATCAGAGTAGAAGCCCACCTTGAACATCCCCATCCTCACAACCTAAGCTGCTATGGCATAGGACCATCTTGAAACCAAACCCACTGCTAGGATGTGCCCTGATCTGGGGACTAGTGGCAACTGACTCTCCATGTCCCTGAGACCCTGCTGTTATTCCACCATGTTCATGCAGGTGCCTGTAGCACCATGACCCCAGTTGCATGGAACTTAGGCAAGATGAAACAACTGAGACCAAAGTGTCGAAACCCATGCAGCACCCCACCCTTCCAGAGAACTGGCAGATCTGCACAGCAGGGAAGCTATTGAACAGCAGCTGGCCCACTGAACACACATGCACCAATGCTTGGCTAAACAGCTTGCACAGTGGCAGTCCTACCTCCCTGAGAAAACTGCCACACAGCCACCCAGCCTCACCTGACCCATGCACACCTATGCCCAGCCTGACAGCTGATTTGGCAGTGGCTCACCTTCTTGAGCATATAACTGTAGAGTTTCCTGGCTCCATTTTACCCATACCTACTCATGCCTGGCATGATAACTGTTCTAATGGCAGCCCAACCTCCCCAGGGAGACTACCACAGAACCATATGGCCCAGCCACACCTGGACTCTCATGCTCAGCTTGAAGTTCTGTCTGGAAGCAGTTCTGTCTTTCCAGAGAGACTGCTACAAAGCCTCCCAGGCAACTGTGTCCATGTGTGCAGCAATTCCTACCTCCCCAGAGAGCCCACTGGGCAGCCTATTGGCCCTTTGCCGCATCACATACCTAACCCACAACCAACCAGCACCCACATCCCCAGCAAACACACACCATTAGCTTCAAAAACTTCTGCATTTGAGGCAACTAAACGAACTGTAGAAATTAATGATGAAGATTACAGATGAAGAAACTGCACAAGGACCATGCTACTGAGTTTACTCAGAACCAAAGCCAATGCATCAAACCCAACTAATACCCTAAAACCCATCTATAGGAAAAAGTCTCTTCCTAAGAAAGGTACTCTGGATAACTTGAAAAAGTGACTGTTCCACTAAATGCACAGATATCAATGTTGGAACACAAGAAAGCAAGGAACGCAAAAAGCAAGGAAAGATGACAGCCCCAAAGAAACAATAAGTTTTCAGACACTGACCCCAAAGAAAAGAACATTTACAAAATGCCTGAAAAGAAATTCAAAATTATGATCTTAAGGAAACTCAGTGAGATGCAAGAGAACACAGACAAGCAAATAAAAAAAAATCAGGAAAACTATCCATAATCTGAATAAGAAATTCAATAAAGAAAGATATCATAAAAAAGAAACAAAAAGGATTATTAGAGCTGAAAAATTTAAACAATAAGATAAAAAATACAATTAAGAGCATTGACAACTGAGTAGATTAAGTAGAAATAAAGTTTTCTTAACTTGAACACAGGTCTTTTGAAATAATGTAGTCAGAGAAAAAAATCATCAAAAATAAAAAAAGAATAAAGAAAGCCTAAAAACATATGGAAAACCATTTAGAGAACAAATATTTGCATTATAGGAGTTTGAGAATAAGAAAAGAAGGGAAGTGGCATAGGAAAGTTATATAATGATATAATAACTGAAAACTTTCCAAGAATTAGGAGAGATACAACATCAAATTGAGGAAGCTCAAAAGTTCCAAAATAGATTTAACCCTAAAAGGTTCTCTTTGAGGCCCATTATGATTAAATTATAAAAAGTCAAAGACAAAGAGAATTATAAAAGCTGAAAGAGAAAATCCTCAGGTCACATACAAGAGAATCTTCATTAGACTATCAGCATATTTCTCAGAAGAAGCCTTGCAGGTTAGGAGAGAAGGAAATTGTATATTAAAAGTGCTCAGAGTAAAAAGAAACAAAAACAAAACAAAACAAAAACCCTGATAGTCAAGAATACTATATCCAGCAAAGCTATTCTTCAAAAAAAAAGGAGAAATAAGATTTTTACAGATAAGTGAAACCTGAAAGAATTCATCATTTCTGGAGCAGCCCTACAAGAAATGCTTAAGACAGTGCTCTAACTGAAAATGAAAGGACAATAATTACTACTATAAAAATATGTGAAAGTACAAAACTCACCAGTATAGGTAAATTCATAAATCAAACTCAGAATACCCCAGTGATGCACTGGTGTACTAATGCACTGGTAAATCTTTCAATACTCTAGTATAAAAGTTTAAAGTCAATACGATCAAAAACAATAACAGTTACAATGGGTAACTGTTGGAAATACAATAGATAAAGAAGTAAATTAAGGCAACAAAAATATAAATTGTGAGAGGGGAAGGAAAATGTCTACAGTATTTTTACACAACCAAAGTTAAGTTGCTATCAACTTAAAATAGTCTATTATAACTACAAGACTCGTTATATTAGCCCCATGGTAGCCACAACAAAATAAACTTACAGCAGATATATAAATGATACATAGAAATAAAACAATGAAAACCATAGAAAACTACCAAACCACAGAGGTAAACAACAAGAGAGGAAGAAAGAAACAAAAGATCTATAAAACAACCAGAAAGCTATTAACAAAATGGAAAGAATAAATTCTTACCTATCAATAATAATCTTGAATGAAAATAGATTAAATCCTCCATTTAAAAGATAGAGGCTGGATGAAAATAAAAATACTTAACTATATGTTGCTAATGAGAGACTCACCTCATTGTTAAAGACAAACATAAACTTAAAGTGAAGGAATGGAAAAAGATATTTCATGTAAGTTGAAATAAAAAGCAAGCAGAAGTAGCAATACTTATATCAGATACAATAGACTCTAAGTTAAAAACTGCAAAAAGAGACAAAGAAGGTCATTATATAATGATAAAGGGATTGATTCAGCAAGAGAATATAATAATTGTAAATACGTCTGCAGCAAATACTGGAGCACCCAGTTATACAAAGCAAATATTATTGGAATTAAAGGGAAAAATGGACTGCAATACAATAAAAGTGGAGGTCTTCACTACCACACTTTCAGCAATAGTTACATCATCTAGGCAGAAAAACAACAAAGAAGCATTGAATTTAAACTGCACCATAGACCAAATGGACCTAACAGATATTTACAGAACATTCCATCCAACAGCTGTGAAATACACATTCTTCTGAACTGCACACAGAACTTACTCAAGAGTAGATCCCATGTTATGCCACAAAAGAAGTCTTATAAAATTTATGAAGATAGGCCGGGCACGGTGGCTCACGCCTGTAATCCCAGCACTTTGGGAGGCCAAGGCAGGCAGATCACAAGGTCAGGAGATTCAGACCATCCTGGCTAACGCAGTGAAACCCCGCCTCTACTAAAAATACAAAAAAATTAGCCAGGCGTGGTGGTGGGCACCTGTAGTCCCAGCTACTAGGGAGGCTGAGGCAGGAGAATGGCATGAACCCGGGAGGAGGAGCTTGCAGTGAGCCGAGACTGTGCCATTGCACTCCAGCCTGGGTGACAGAGCAAGACTCCATCTCAAAAAAAAAAAAAAAAAATGAAGATAGAGGTTATATCAAGCATCTTTTCTGATCACAATAGTATAAAACTAGAAATCAACAACAGTATAACATGCAAAGTGTAAAAATACATAGAAATAAACAATATACTTCTAAAGAACCAATAGATCAATGAAAAAAAAGTTTTAATTTTTGTTTCTGAGTGTACATGTGCAGGTTTGTTACATGTGTAAATTGCATATTGCTGAGGTTTTTTGGTGTACGAATGATGCTGTCACCAAGGTAGTGAACACAGTAACTGATAAGTACCCTTCCAACCCACACTCTGCATTCCTACCATCCTTCCTAAAGCACTCCCCAATGTCTATTGTTTCTTTTTGGATGTCCATGTATATTCAGTGGTTAGCTCCTACTTATAGGTGAGAGCATGTGGTATTTGGTTTTCTATTCCCGTGTTACTTCACTTAGAATAAGTGTCTCCACCTACATCCTTGTTGCTGCAAAGGACATGAATTTATCCTTTTTCCATTATTGTGTAGTTTTCCATGTTGTATGTATCCACATATTCTTTATCCAGTTCATATAGACAAGCATGGTGGTTTATTCCATGTATTTGCTATTGTGAATATTTCTGTAGTGAACATAAAAGTACATATGTCTTTTTAGTAGAAATTTTTATTTTCCTTTGAGTATATACCCAATAGTGGGAGAGCTGGGTCAAATGGTAGCTCTGAACTTATCTGAGTTCTTTGCTAAATCTCCACACTGTTTTCCACAGTGGCTAACTAATTTAACATTCCCACCAGCAGTGTATAAGTGTTCCCTTTTCTCTGCAACCTTGCCAGCATCTGTCGTTTTTCGACTTTTTAATAATTGCCATTCTGACTGGTGTGAGATGGTTTCTTATTGTGGTTTTGCTTTGCATTTCTCTAATGATTAGTAATAATGAGCATATTGCTTGTTGACTGCACGTATGTCTTCTTTTGCAAAGTCTCTGTTAATGTCCTTTGTCTATTTTTTTTAAATGGGGCTACTTGTTTTTTGCTTATTGAAAAGTTCCATATAGATTCTGAGTATTAGACCTTGTTGGATGCATAGTTTGCAAATACTTTCTCGCATTCTGTAGGTTGTGTGTTTTCTCTATTGATAGTTTCTTTTGCTTTGAAGAAGCTCCTTGGCTTAATTAGGTCCCACTTGTTGATTTTTGTTGTTGTTGCAATTGCTTTTGAGAACTTAGTAATAAATTCTTTGCCACCATGTCTAGAATGGTATTTCCTAGATTTTCATCTAGGGTTTTTATCATTTGGGGTCTTACATTTAATCTTTAATACACCTAGATTTAATTTTTGTCTGTGTTTAAAGTAAGGAGTCCAGTTTCAATCTTCTACATATGGCTAGCCAGTTATTCCAGCACCATATATTGAATAGGAAGTCCTTCCTCTATTATTTATAATTGTTGACTTTATCAAAGATCAGGTGATTGTAGATATGTGGCTTTATTTCTGTGTTCCCTATTAAGTTTCATTGGTCTATGTGTCTGTTTCGATACCAGTAGCATTCTGTTTTGATTACTGTAGACTTGTAATATAGTTTGAAGTTAGATAAAAGCTAATTCAACACAATCAAGTAGGCTTTATTTCTCAGATGCAAGGTTGCTTTAATATATGCAAATTATTAAATGTAATTTACCACATAAACAGAATTAACAACAATACCCATGTAATCATCTCAACAGATTCAGAAAAGGCCTTTGATAAAATTCAACATTCCCTCATGTTAGAAATTCTCAACAAATTTGGCATCAAAGGAACATACCTCAAAATAATAAGAGCCATTTAAAACAAACCCACAGCCAACATCATACTGAATGGGCAAAATTTGGAAGCATTCCCTTTGAAAAGTAGAACAAGGCAAGGATGCTCACTCTCACCACTCCTATTCAACATAGTACTGAAAGCCCTAGCCGGAACAATCAGGCAAGAGAAAAAAATAAAATACATTCGAACAGAAAGCAAGGAAGTCAAACTATCTCTCTTTATAGACAATATGATTCTATAACTAGAAAACCCCATAGACTCTGCCAGAAGGCTTCTAGAACTGATAAACAACTTCAGTAAATTTTCAGGATACAAAATCAATGTACCCACATCAGTAGCATTTCTATACACAAATAATGTTCAAACTTAGAGCCAAATCAAGAATGCAATCCCACTTTCAATAGCCACAAAAAGAATAAAATACCTAGACATACAGCATACAATGAGATGAAAGACTCTACAACAAGAATTACAAAACACTACTGAAATAAATCAGAGATGACACAAATAAATGGAAAAACATCTCATGCTCATGAATAGGAAAAATCAATATTGTTAAAATGGCCATAGTGCCCAAAGCAATTTACACATTCAATGCTATTCCTATAAAACCACCAACATCATTTTTCACAGAATTAAAAAAAAAAAAGTCTAAAATTCACATGGAATCAAAAAGAAGCCTGAACTGCCAAAGCAATTCTAAGCAAAAAGAACAAAGCCAGAGGCATCACGATAAGGAAATTGAAAGGAAAATTTAAAAATTTCTTGAGACAAATAAGAATGGAAAAACATCATATCAAGACAGAGCAAGAGCATTTCTAAGAGCAAAATTTATAGCAATAAATGCCAACATCAATAAAAAAGAAAGATTTGTAATAAACAACCTAACATTGTACTCCAGGAAACTGGAAAAACAAAAACAAACTGAAACCAAAGTTGGTAGAAAGAAGGAAATAATAAAAATTAGAGCAAAAATAATTGAAATAGAGACTGAAACAATTCAAAAGACTAATAAAATGAAGAGTTTGTTTTTTGGAAAAAAAAATTGACAAAGTTTTAGGTAGAATAGTAAAAAACACTCTAAAACCAGAGATTAAAAAAGACACATTATGGACTGGTGCAGTGGCTCACACCTGTAATCCCAGCACTTTGGGAGGCCGAGGTGGGTGGATCACCTGAGGTCAGGAGTTGAGACCAGCCTGCCCAATATGGCAAAACCCCGTCTCTACTAAAAATACAAAAAATTAGCCAGGCGTGGTAGTGGGTGCCTGTAATTCCAGCTACTCGGGAGGCTGAGGCAGGAGAATCACTGGAACCCAGGAGGCGGAGGTTGCAGTGAGCTGAGATTTCACCACTGCACTCCAGCCTGGGCAACAAGAGTAAAATACAACTGATAAACACAGAGATATAAAGGCTTATAAGAGACTATTTTGAATAATGATATTGCAAACAAATTTGATAACCTAGAAGAAGTAGATAAATTCCTGAACACATAAACTACCAAGATTAAATAATGAGGAAATAGAAAATCTGAAAAGACTAAAAATGAGTGAGAATATGGAGTCAGTAATAAAAAGCCTTTCATTGAAGAAAAGTTGAGGATCTGAGAAGTACACTTCTGAATTCTATAGAACATTTAAGAAAGAATTAATATTGATTCTCCTCAAAGTATTTCAGAAAATTGAAGAGAAATATATTATTCCAAACTCATTTTATGAGGCCAGTATTATCCTGAGTCCAAAATCTGACAAAGACATGACAAAAAAGACTACTACAGGCTAAGATCTCTGCTAAATATAGATGCAAAAATTCTAAACAAGATATTGGCAAGCCAAATTCAATAGCCCATTAAAAAGATTATTCACTGTGATCAAGTGTGACTTATTCCAGGATGCAAGAATGATCTAACACATGAAAATCAATAAATGTGATACACCACATGAACAGAAAGAAAGACAAAAACAATATAATAATTTTGAGACACTGAAAATGCATTCAGCAACATCCAACATCCCTCTATAATAGAATCTCTTAACAAGTGGGCATAGAAAGTATGTTGCTCAAGACAATAAAAGCCGTATATGTCAAACTCAATAGTTAACCTCACACTGAGTGGATAAAAGCTGAATGCTTTCTCTCTAAGATGAAGAATAAGACAAGAATTCTCACTTTCAGCACTTCTGTTCAAAATAAGAATGGAAGTTCTAGCTAGAGCAATCAGGCAAGATAAAAGAAATAAAAGGCATACACACTGAAGGGGAGTACTTAAATTTGTTCCTGTTTTCAAAAACCTGATCCTAAAATTCATATGGAGCCACAAAAGATACCAAATAGAAAACAAACCTAAGCAAAAAGAACAAAGATGGAGGCATCATGCTTCCTGACTTGAAAATATACTATAAAGCTATAATAATGAAAACAGCATGGTACTGGCATAAAAACAGACACATAGACCATTAGAACAGAATAGAGAGCCCAGAAATAAATTCACACACCGACAGCCAACTGATTTGTGACAATGTTGCCAAGAAGACTTATTGGGGGAAAGACGAAAGAAGACAAGTATTGATGAGGATGTGGAGAAAAGGGAACTCTTACAAACTATTAGTGGGATTGTATACTAGGATAGCAATTCTAGAAAATAGTATGACAGTTCCTCAAAAAATTAAAAATAGAGCTACTCTATGATCCAGAAATCCCACTACTGAAAATAGATCCAAAGAATATAAAAATCAGTATGTTGAAGAGATTCCTATACTCCATGTTTATTGCAGCACTGTTTACAATAGCTATCTTGGAATCGACATGTATATGTAAATGGATGAATGGAAATAAATGTGGTATATATACACAGCAAAATGCTATTTAGTCATAAAAAATGAAATATTGTTATTTGTGACATGTACAGACTTGGAGGACATCATAATAAGCAAAATAAGCCAAACACAGATAGATGAATACCACACAATCTCATTCATATGAGGAATCTAAAAAATAAATAAATAATAAAGTTGATATTATAGAAGCAGAAAGTAGAATAGTGATTACCAGCAACTGGGGAGCAGGGTGGAAAGGGGGTAGGATGGGAAAAGGTTGGTCAAAGTTACTGTTAGATAAAGGGAATAAGTTCTGTGTTCTATTGCACTGTTGGTTGACTATAGTTAACAGTAGAATATTGTATATTACAAAATGACTAGAAGAGAGGCTTTTGAATGCTCTCACCACAAAGAAATGATAAATGGATGAGG
This sequence comes from Homo sapiens, assembly GCF_000001405.40. Lineage (NCBI taxonomy): Eukaryota > Metazoa > Chordata > Mammalia > Primates > Hominidae > Homo > Homo sapiens. The sequence goes on along the minus strand of NC_000003.12, from coordinate 106,596,311 downwards.
TGATGGAGTACTTTGACTTGATTATTTATATATTGAATATATATTTATATCTTGAAACATTGTAATTTTACTCTATTAATATGTACAACATGCCAGTTAAAAAACAAAAAGATATTAAAAAGAGATGTGACAGAGAGGTATGGAACTATTTTAATATCAGGCAAAGTAAGAAATAGCAATATTGCTAGGGATAAAAAAGATAATCATAAAGGTTTCAATTCATCTAGAAGACAAAGCAATACTGAGTATCAGAGCTTCATAGTAATAAAGCAAAATATGTCCACTAGAAAATACTAACATATTTTAAGTTTAATTATGCAATCCTAAATAATATGAATCAAAGAAGCAGTCCCAATGGAAATTATAAATATTTTAAATTGAAGTAGAATTAAAATAGCATTTTAAGTTGAATGAAAATTAAAATAGTATTTGTGGGATACATTTAAAGTAGTATAGAATTAAATTCTTAGGTTCATTAAGAAAAGTATTAAGTAATGATTTAAGCTTTCATCTTATAAAATGAAAAAAGAAGAACAAATCAAACACCAAGGAAGCAGAAGGAAATTGATAGTAAAGATAGCACAAATCAATAAAATAAAAATCAGAAGAAAAGTGGAAATAATCCATAAAACTATAATCAAATACTTTGAAGAGATCAATAGCCAGGGAAATCAGAAGAAAAAAACAAAAAAATACTAATATCGGTAATAAAAAAGGGTACATCAAAATAAATACTACAGAAATTAAAATAAAAATAAAAGAGTATTCTGAAAATCCCTATGACCAAAAATTCACCAACTTAGCTAATTCCTGGAATGATACAAATTATGAAAGTTCTCTTAAGCAATAATCTTAATAAATCTAATGGTATTAAATCTGTAGTAAAAGCCACCCTCCGTCCCCCCACTCCCCACATACAAATCCATTGCTGAGGTAGCTTTAATAGTGAATTTTGTCAAACAGTTAAACAAGAAATAATACCAACTCTATACAAAGTCTTCCATATAATGCCAGCACCCTGCTGCCAAAATCAAAGACATCACAAGAAAACTAGACTATTATCTCTCATGAACACTGATGTAAAAATAATTAATGAAATATTAGCAAATCAAATTCAGCAATCTATAAGAGGGATAATACCCAAATAAAGTTCATTCCAGGAATGCAAGTCTGGTTCTACATTTAAAACAATTAATCAAAGTAATCAATAATAACACATTAAACAAGAAAAAAACACATAGTCGTTTCAATGGATGTTTAAAATCATTTGAAAAAATTCAGCATTGATTTATTATAATCACTCCCAGAAAGTTAATCATAGAATTTATATTTTCCCTCAACCTGATAAAGGCCAATTATGAAACACCTATACTTACCATTGTTCTTAATAGAGAAGGACTGCTTTTTTTACCTAAGATCTGGAACAAGGGAAAAAAGATATTACTTTTCTTAAAAAAGGGTGTAGGGACAAAAGCATATAGATTTACAAGAAAATCCTGACTAAATTTGCAGGTTACCTGATTTTCAAATAGCTAGTGGAACTAACAAATGAGTTTGGCAAAGTTGCAAGATATAATGTAAATATATGTAAGTCAAGCTTTGTATCTATGTACTAGCATTGAGTAATTAGAAAATAATTTTTAATTACAATTTATAATATCAATAAATATGAAGTAATTAGATTATGCAAAATATATGCAGTGTTAAAAACTACAATATATTGCTGACAGAAATTATAGAAGAGCTAAATAAATACAGAATCAAACCATTATTATGAATGAGAAAACTCTATATAGAACAGTAATTTCCACCAACAGTTGTGAAATAGGCCAAAAATGTAATAATTAGTACATTTTTCATTTGACAGCTCTTGAGCTTCTATCATGTGCCAGGCACTTTTTTAATGTTGGAGATAACAGTGATCAAAACAGAAAGATAGGACATCACATGAATAAATTATTTTGTACTGTGAAGAAACTGACATTATAAACAACATCAATAAGAAGGAAAATTCATTAAAGGCCAATAAATATTAAGAAAATGAAGAAAAAAGTTTGAGTGGGTGACTAGAATGTATGGAGTGTTGCATTTTTCTACAGGGTGATCGGGGAAAGCTTCAATTGAGAAGGTTACATTTGAAAAAAGGCCTAATAAGTGATGGGATGTGATCATATAAACATCTTAGAGAGGAGCATATTAGGCAGAAAAAATATAAAACTTAGGTTGGGAGAGACCTGAGGTGTTAGAGGAATAGGAACATGACCCTTATAATTGCAGCTAATAACAGATGCAGTTCAAGAGGTCACAGAGAACCACAGTATATGGCACCTTGTAAGCCACTGGAAGGCCTTGAGTTTCATTCTGAATGCTCTGGGAAGACTTTGGAGACTTTTAAACAAAGGAGTGTTATGATCTAACTTTCATTTTAAAAGGAAACTAGGGAGAACAATTAGGAGGTTTTTGTAATAATCCGGAAAAGAAATGATAATGCCTTGGATAAAGGTGGTAGGACTGGATGGAGTAGTAAGTGGTTAGGTTCTTAATAGATGATATGGTTTAGCTCTGTGTCCCTACCCAAATATCATCTCAAATTGTAATCTCCACATATCGGGGGAGGGACCTGGTGGGAGGTGGTTGAATCATGGGGGCAGACTTCCCCCTTGCTGCTCTCGTGATAGTGAGTTCTCATGAGATCTGGTTATTTTAAAAATGTGGACTTCCCCCTTTCACTCTCTGTCTCCTGCTGCTATGTAAGACTTGCCTTGCTTCTCATTTGCTTTCTGCCATGATTGTAAGTTTCCTGAGGCCCCCTCAGCCATGCAGAACTGTGAGTCAGTTAAACCTCTTTATAAATTACCCAGTCTGAGGCAGTTCTTTACAGAGGTATGAAAACAGAATAATACAGTAGACTTTGATTGTATGGACAACAAGATTTATAATCAAATGTAGGATATAAAACACAATGGGATATGAGAAGAAAATAAAGTAGAAAGCTTTTTACTGATAACACTAATACATTGGGAAATATTTTAAGAACACATGTTGAGAAGTTATACAAAGTTATACATGTAGCTCTGACTGATGAACTAAAGCAGACGTGGATAGTGAGGTACCTCCAAAGAATCTCTACTGAGATTCTCGATGTTTTTCCTTAATTCAGCATACAGAACAGATTGTTCATGAATATTATTTAATGATTTAGTTAACCAGTGATTTATTGCATGGATACATCAAGATTTTGACAAAGCCTTTTTCTCCCATATTTGAAAACGACTAACATATGGGATGGAATAAGGAGTAAGGTACCCAGAAACTGACATTATAGTTTTGTTTGCTTTTTTGTGTTATTTTAGTTGTTAAGTTTATTAACCATTTACCAGTAATAATTACATGTACACATGGTGGTATGGACTAGGCAGGCTGCTTGTGTATAATTTCTAGCCTGCTAATTGTGGTTCTGTCCTTTTCTTTCTCACTCAAAAAAAGCATATCAGGGCCAGGCACGGTGGTTCATGCCTGGAATCCCAGCACTTTGGGAGGCCAAGGTGGGTGAATCAAGAGGTCAGGAGTTCAAGACCAGCCTGGCAAGATGGTGAAACCCCATCTCTATTAAAAATACAAAGTTAGACGGGCATGGCAGCAGGCACCTGTAATCCCAGCTACTCGGGGGACTGAGGCAGAGAACTGCTTGAACCCAGGAGGCAGAAGTTGCAGTGAGTGAGATCGCACCACTGCACTCCAGCCTGGGAGACAGAGTGAGATTCTGTCTCAAAAAAAACAAAAACAAAAACAAACAACAACAACAACAACAAAATATCAGGATGCGAATAGTGGAAGTGACATTATTACAGAACTAATTTTGAATCCACTTTGATTTATGAAATTGAAATATTTTAAAAGCTTTAGGTCTTTAACCAAGACACCACATTCTCCTTAGTTTTACTTTGCCACCTTTTCTACTCCTTGGTTTCATTTGTGGATGTTTCTTACCCCAGACCATCACCTGCATCTCTTATTGTTGGTGTGCCTCAGAACTCCATCCTTGGACAGCTTATCTTATCTATCCACACTTAATGTTTTATTATTATCTCATTCTCATCTAGTGTCTTGGCTTTAAATACTGTTTATAGGTGAATGACGCCCAGATTTCTATCTCTAGCTAGACCTTTTCCCTGAACAGTAGATTTGAATGTTCAATTGGTGAACCGCTATCTCCAACTAGATGTCTAATAGTCATTTCAAACTTACCATGTCTAAAAGTGAGCTTCCAACCTTCCTTGTGCCACCGTACACATAGCATTGATGCAGGACAGGCAAGCCCCAAAATTGGAGCTTAGCTCAGGAGGGTTCTTGACTTTGCCCAGGAAAGAATTCAAGGGTGAGCTGGTGGTGTTAAACAGCAACTTTTATTGAAGTGGCGTGTACAGCAGCAGCAGAGGAATGCCTCCTTGTGGAGTTGGGCTATCCCATAGGCAGTGTGCCCAAAATAGCAGCTCAGAGGCAATTCTGCCATCATATTTATACCCATTTTTAATTATATGCAAATTAAGGGATGGTTTGTGCAGAAATTTTTAAGAAAAAGGTAATAACTTCTATGTAATTAGGTTGTTGCCATGGAAAGAGGCAGTAACTTGTGGGTGTTGTCATGGCAATGGTAAACTGACATGGCACACTGGTGGGTGTGTCTTATAGAAAGCTCCTTCTGCCCTGGCCCTATTTTAGCTAGTCCTCAATTTGGTTTGGTGCCCAAGCCCCACCTCCAGAGTTGAGTCCCACCTTCTACCTCACCATCTACCAAAGATGCTTCTTTGGTGATCTTTAACCTCTCAGTAAATGGGAGTACCATTCTCCCAATTGCTTTGGTTCAAATTTCTGGAATCATTTTTTATTCCTTAAGATTTTCAAACAGACGGGCAAACAATCTGCAGATTAGTGATTCCATAATGGAAACTCTGGCCCTGTGCATTTCATAACAAGTATTTTTCTATGGTAATTGGCTCAAAAAGCCAGTGTGAGTCCACATATTAATCCACAACTGAGGGGTAACTGTTGATAATGCAACCTCTGCAGTATCATTAGACTTGGGGTAAAACACAGGAGGCTGAGGCAGAGAATTTCTCGAACCCAGGAGGCAGAGGTTGCAGTGAGCTGAGATCTCACCAGTGCACTCCAGCCCAGGTGACAGAGCAAGACTCTGTCTCAAAACAAAGAAAGAAAGAAAAGCATGCCATGCAGGTTACTATCTATCTATTTAATCTACTTCTGAGACTGGCCCTATTTGAATCCTCCAAATGAAATGATGTTGACACCATACTCATACAGCCATACGTCTTGATTAACTTTACTAAAGCAAAGTATTTGTGTTTCATTGTAGGAAAATGATCTCACAAATAAATTCTGGCAGTCTATATACCTTAAAAACATAAAGCCTACTGAAATAGATTAGACACAAAATTATGTAATGTAGAAGAGGACTGAGAATTTATTGTGTACCTATTATGTTTCAGATGCTATAATTAGCACTTCCTAGTTTATAGTCTCATTTAAAAACTCCCGGAAATTATCTAACAGATAAGAAAGCTGATTTTAGCAAGTCAAATCACTTACATAAGTAATTTGGCATAAGGCCTACCCCAAAAATACTCAAATAAATTCTATTATTAATATGTATTTTCCCAGACTCACACTACCAGTGTGAGATGAAGCCTTACATCCAATATAGTCTTGTTAGATTGCAAAACCTCTTATTCCAATAGTCTATGATGCAATTGCTTCTTGAAATATGCACCTTATTAGCAATTATTTCCTTTCCTTTCAGTATTCTACTCACCAAGTAGACTCTCAATGACTACATAGTGAAGTCAAAGTAAAATATCTGCACGATAGCTCTTCAGTGTTAGTGTGACAAGGCCTGCAAACACTGCCAGTTTGAATGAAAATGTGCTGAGATCAGTAGTTTCTCTGGTAGTAATAGGATTCAATGTTCTTTAAGGGGATTTACTTGTTCTTCCTGCACTTTTAGTTATCTGAGACTCCTTGTAAATTCCAAGTGAGTACATAACACTTAAAAGTGGCATTTAACCCACTCAATTATTTCTACAATTTAGCCAAAACCTTAGAAAATAGTTGGTATTTTATGTGAGGTAGTTTGGGATCATTATTTGCTGTGTTGAAGTGATCTTGATGGAAATGCCCAAGGACCCTGCTTCATTAACTTTCTAGGGCTAATAATACAACATTCGTTCTTCAGAGAAAAATTAAATAAATAATGATAAACCCATCCTGGCTTTTCTGTTTGTCAACTCTCCAGGACACTGAATTGTACTGTCATCTATGAGGACTATTGCATGTGAAAGCCTATGGTACAAGGGTTTAAAAGGGGAGAGAGTGGGATCTTTGCTGTCAAAGAGATTGCAATTTATTGAGAAAGCGATTTAATTCAGTTACTACACAAATGCCACAGACATAGTCATCACTAATGTCATAATTCAGTCTTTGGAAATTTTGGACTTTTGAAGATTGTGGTATCCCAGTGCATTATATTGGAGGGAGGTACCAGATGCTATAGTTTCCCTGGGAAGAGGTGCACCTATACACTTGGAAAAGGCAGTCATGAATGAAAGGGAAACAAAGAATCTGGATGAGTCTGAAATATAACTTTTCTAAAAGATTTATCAGTTCTGTGTGCTTAGGTTTGGCAGACAGTCAAATGAAATGTGTTTCTCCCTTTCTATGTTTTACTTGCCTTTAGTTACCACTAACTTTGCTGAAACCTGCACAGTCTTAAGGGGAATTATGTTGAGAACAAAGGGGTGAGGCAATACGGCAAATGTGGTTTGGCTCACATTCATTCGCATTTGCAGAGCAAGCAGCAGCCTATCTCTGGGATGATCAAGAAGTAGTAGTTCTTGATATTTCAGAGCCAAAAGACAATCACTTTCAGAACTAAAGTGGAGGCGCACCTAGTAGCTGGGGACAAAGAGGCAACGTATTACCTAGAGGTTACAGGACACCCTAGCCACACAGAAATATCCAGCACCACCACCCTCTCTCTTTCCAACATATGTTTGAATGGCATTTCTCAAAATATGATCCCCAGAATTCTCATGTCATGATAACCTGAGGATTTTTATTTTTAATGAAGAGTACTGAACTGTAGCTTTGTCAAAGTCCTAATCTCTAGATTTGTCAAATCAGAATCTCTGGTAATGGGTATAGGAATATACACTCAAAATGAACCCTCAAATTGATTTTTATACCCACTAAAGTTTGAGAAATACCAAGTTAGGGGATAGTAGCCCTTGAAATGGAGAGAAGGGATTTCCCTTGGCAGTGTTGTTTTCATGTGTGCAGGTAGGATGATTGACAGGCCCTTCCTGGGTCAGGTTTTCACATGATCAACACAGTGATGTTTGCTTCCAGCTGCATTTTTTTTTTAATGGTCATCATGTCCCTCTGCTCCCCAGATTTAAATGTAATCACAGCAGGATGTCTTAATTTTAGTGCTCCAGTTCAATCGGTATACATTTCTGTTTTTCAGAAGCACATATGTAATTTTTTTTTTGACAGAGTTTCACTCTTGTTGCCCAGGCTGGAGGGCTATGGTGCAATCTCGGCTCACTGCAATCTCTGCCTCCCGGGTTCAAGCGATTCTCCTGCCTCAGCCTCCCAAGTAGCTGGGATTACAGGCATGCGCCACCACACTTGGCTAATTTTTTGTATTTAGTAGAGATGGGGTTTCACCATGTTGGTCAGGCTGGTCTTGAACTCCTGACCTCAGGCGATCCACATGCCTCAGCCTCCCAAAGTGTTGGGATTACAGGCGTGAGCCACCGCACCTGGCCATATATAATTTTTAAAACATAAATGCTTCGTAGTGTGTCTTAGTCACATCTTTTGCTCATGCTTACTACAATTTAATTAAATTTTTTTGCATATTCAAAAATATAAGTGCATGAGAGTTGGCTGTCTTTGAGTCTTCTAATAAGCTTGACTGAGTTGTTTGGTAACGAGCATTGCTCCAGGAATAGTTAACTGGTTATAGTCTGGGACTTTATTGATCCTATCCTGACATGATATCAAATGAGACTTAAAAGTAGTTCTGCTTAAGGAGCTAGAAGTGATGTCTGTGATGGCACTGAGTCAAATGACACTCTGTCATAACAACTTTATCTTCCGTTTTGGACTTCACAGGTACAAAACATTTTAGAAATTCAAGGGGACCTAACAGTACACATGGCACACAGACATATGGTCACCTGATTAATTAGAACCCATGATACGGAAGTCCTGGTCCAAACCCCTTTTCACTATGCAAGTTATTAATTTGATTTCAGTTTTCTTACCAATTAGAGCATTTGAGAACCATGTAGAATAGGTAGTAATCTAATTTTATTACATAAATTAGATTACAATGCCTGGGAAAACATGGTGCTAACGATATGAATTGCCAGGTAAAGGAAGATTTAAAAGCTTAATCTTCTACAATACTTGTCAAGACAAGAAATTGCAATAATTCTTGCGAAACAGTTAATAATTGCATATATATCTGAAGAATGTAGTCCTACGGATCTTGCCATTTTTAGATTAGATTTACTGATGCATGTAGACTTTTCATCAGAAAGTCTTATGAGTCGTGGATGGAATCTGCACGTGTTAAGTATGTCTCCCAGCAGTTGAATCTCAAATAGAGTAACTCAGGTTTATTTCACTATGTGGTCCCATTTTATACCACCGGAGATGAGAAGTGGGTTCAGACAATAAACCATTGAATCATTTTAACAAACACTGAGTACATACTATGTGTAAAATATGGTATCAAACATTTTGGTGAATTCAGTGATTAAAAATAAAAAAGACATTATCCTGTTGAGGAAACTAGCCTCTCGATCATTAATAGAATTTTTGTTCTAACTGCTGAAAATTCAACTAACACATGCACCAGCACTGTATTCCCTGAACAAATCTGAAGCCCCTTTTCCAGCTCATCAATGTTAGTATCTCATTTGCTTCCTTTAACAAAGAGTATTCCTCTACTTTAACAAACAAACATATATTTGTTCTCTTCAGAACTCTTAGTTTTTCTTTTCTTCTTCAAAAGTGTTTTTAAGTTCGGCCACTTTATATTTTAAAGTTTGTTTATTTTACAAGGGCCTCCCTTCCCTGTGGACCATAAAAGCAATTCTTGTCAAGGGTGAGCGGAGAGATAGAAGAATCTTCAGTTATACTTAAGTATAAAAAGAACCTATAAAATTGAGTTGAGGTCGTTGCTCAGCTTCTGGCAGGTTGTCACTCCTCCAGTTAAACTAAAAAAAACATGGTTTTAAAAAATTGTATAATAATCCTTAGTACTTACACCAGAGGAGTTTATAATCTACTTTGAGAAAAATGCACACATGTATAGTCAGACATGTATGTATGTGTCTATATGTATACATACATATATTTACAACTCTGGCCAAAGGCACAATATGGTAAATATAATAGAAGGATAATATGTTATGTGTATAAGAAAAAATGTTGTTTACTGGGGAGAATATAAATATTTTCTATTTTTAGTATAATATTTGGGGCAATAAAACTAGTTTCAAACTGTCAGAATTCAGTTCTGTTAATTATATTGATAGGGACTGGATCCAGCAAAGGCTGTGGATTATTTCACATATTAATTCTCTCTTTACCTTGGGTACCCAGTTCCTTTATGTTGCTGGTTCTTTTCACTTGCAAAATCTTTTCTTGTGCATCTGTTTTATGTCAGTCATTGTATTAGGTATTAGGGCAGCAGACAAGAAACTGAGGATAACTGTGTGGTGGTAAGGGCTTGGATGGAGGAACCCACAGGGCAACGTGGGAACAGGGGAATGACATCTAAAGAGAATTGGCTGCTTCAGACTAAATGGCAACAAGAGGGTTTAACTTTATTTGTGCCATGGACTTCTTTGGCAATTTCGTGAAGCTTATAGGTCTTTTCATAGGATATCTTTGGATGCATATAATGAAATACATGAATTTTCAAGGAAATCAAGAATAATAAAATACCGTTGTCAAAACATTTTTAAAAACAAATTTATGCTGCTTTATTAAAGCATTGCAAACAAGATCTAGCAACAGACATAACAACCAGTGTAGTTCTGAGGTGGTAATATGCGTAAATATTAGTAGCATTTTGAGATCTATGTAACAATTGAAAGATGATGTAAAAATACCTGTGGTATCTTTTTTTGGTGGCAAAGTTGCTGGTACTGCTGATGCAACAGTGGTTGATGTTGACATTTGTAATTGAAGAAATGTTAACTTTCAGGTAGATTTAGATGAAAATAAAGAAATAACTTTTTGCTTACCCAAGTTCACAGACTCTCTGAATTCTCTCTATGAAGTGATGCTTTGGGGAACCATGAGCTCCAGGCTGAAAACCCTGAATTAAGCTAAGTGTTATCTAAAAAAGTCAAACTCATTGGAATAGACAATAGAATGGTAGTCACCAGAGAACGTGGGGCTGGTAGGATGGGGAAAGGGGAGATGTTTTTCAAAAGGTACAAAATTATAGTTAGACAGGAGGAAGAAATTTGCAAGATCTATTGCACAGCTTGATGACTATAGTTAACAATACTGTATAATTTCAAATTTGCTAAAAGAGTAGAGTTTAAATGTTCTCACCACAAAAAATAAGTATGTGAGGTGATGTGTATGTTAATTAGCTTAACCACTACACAGTGTAAACATATATCAAAACATCCTATTGTACCCCATAAATATAATTATTATTTGTTGAAGTTTTTTTAAAGCTAAGTACAAGTACAATTTAGGTGGGGAAGGGAGCAAATGTATTCTGCACAGAGGCCTCAGATCTCTAATAGAGTGACTGAATTCCTGAAAATTCTAAAAGACCTTTCTCTCTCCTATGTTTTTTTTATATCTGAAAGTCTTTTTTTCCTTTCACTTAGAGGTTTGCTGTGTATTAGATGGAAGCAATATGCTTTGTTAACCATTTCATGTGTTATTAGAATTGATAAAAATATTTCTATTCTAAACTTTAATCCTTGTCATTATTTTTGAAATACAGTTTCTATTTGGAAATTTTGCCTGTAGCAAGTCTGAGGGTCAGGAATTCTGGTCAGATAAGCTGAAAAAAAAATTATGTGCTAATACATTCAACTTGGGTTATGTAATTCCATATTCTTAAATTTCTTTTTTTAATAAAAAAATTAACCTATGCTTCTTTGAAAACACTATTCATACATAATATATGAGTTGAAGCACAATATAAAATTCATTATATTGTCAAAAAAATTATTCTTTACATGCCCCCACTCCATTGGACAGCTAACCTTTGTTGGCCTATTTGTGTATGTTATTTCAGAGTATGCACACACACACGCATGCGCACACACGCACACACACACACATATACATACATACAAACATATAGTTTGTTTTGTATAAGATATATGATCATGGTATATAGTTTGCCAATCTAATCGACCAGTTGTACTGTTCATCACAGCCTAAATTAGATGTGTCTTAACATTTACCTCGTTTATCTTTATTTTTCAGAGTAAAGCACCCTGAAATTTTTGGTTGAATTCTGAATTGGGAAGATTCTTATATAACCATTGGTTGCCATCCTTAAAAGTTTTCATCAAGAAAAAACTGGGCCTGACACAAGGGAAAGGGCTTCTGAGGATAACATAGCTTTAGAGCATTTAGTGTGTGTTGGAGGGGAAGTGAGTGATAAAATAGTTTAGAAGATAAGTGGTTAAGTTTTAGGAAGATAAAATTAATGTGAAGGGAAAACAAGCTGCTGCTTCTCTGCTTCAGTCACTGCCCTGACACTTTGCAGAGCAAAGCATCAGAGGAGAAAGGAGAATAGACTGTCAGTGGCTTGGCAGGTTAGATTTTTATGTTTCATCAGCCGCAGCATATTATCTTCTCAAAGTCTTTGTGATTTCCTTTTTTTTTTTTTCTGATTCATGTTGCACTTGTTCTGCACCAGCGAAAAAAAGTAGCTAAAAAACAAATATAGGCATGCACACATATTCACTGTCCCCTACTTATATTTAGCTATTTAGCTATACCTCTGTTACCAAAGACCTTCAGTGAGCTGTGAAGGTTAGTAAACAGCCCTGACTAATTCATTACTACTCAACCTTTATTTCAAGTGAAGCTAAAAGGTTGTTTTAGGAAGAAAAGCTATTTTCAAGAACAGGTAGATAAACAAGTTAAAAAGGAGAATGAGAAATGTTTAAGGAGTAATATTAGGCTCTAATTACTTGGGAATTTAAATTACAAATCACATAGTAGGTGACACTGAACCCAACTGATCACCAGAAGTGTTGAAAACGTGGCTGTCAGTCAGAAAGCCACAAATACGGAGGCTCTGTTTTTGTAGATCCGGCTGACAGCTCTAGGCTTGGCAGCCTTGGGAGACTCATTTGTTGTTCTTGTCATGAAGTGATTATAACAAACACACGTTCTCAGGCAGATAGAGAATAACTATCTGTTGTGGGTAGGTATAGTGTCCGTTGTGGCTTTTTTCTAAAAATTGCTGTTGCGTTGGTTTGGATTTACCCAAAATTACGTGTTGTGAAAAAAAGGCTACAATTCTACTTTAACCAGTTATCTATCTAGTAGTTTAATATGTACGTTTCTGCTAAGGGGAAAAGAGAATAAATTAAAATATAGAGTGGAAATTATGAAATGAGTAAGGAAGAAAATTAGGTGAAATTCTAGATTCACTTTAGCATGGATGTCTTGTCCACAGTAATAATTGAACTTTGAACACTGCTAGATTTGGGAGGATTTATAAGAGATTGCTTAGTGCTATTTGTTTTAGTAATGCATTCCTTGATGTACACGTGCATTTACCATCCTTGTTGATTGACGCGCCTGATGGCTTTCATTCCACTGTGAGCTTCTTCAGGGAGGGGATAAAGGTCTTTAGCTGTTCCATCAGCATGACCTACACCATGGTTGGTATTTCTTCTTTTTTTAAAAAAGAAATGTGAAGAAAAGACAAGTTCCTAAAGGTAATGAATTTCCTCTGTGATTTCTACAGTCAAAGAGGCCAACATGGTCACGTTTGAGAAAAAAATCATTAACCATGCTTCGGATGTGTTAGGAAACCATGCGCTTGAAAAGAGGATGAGTGTGTTACCTTCTTAGCAGTAGGAATTAGAGCTTCCAAGTATACCTCTGATCACTGTGAAACAGTCCTTCAAAATTCCCTCAATTTTGGATTGGTAATATTTGCTAAAAGCAACCATGATCTTAATACATATAATCAATATGTTTTTAAATTAGAGATTCTATGCTATTTGTATTTTATGATTAGAAAGCAATGACCCTGTAATGCTATTAGATTCTCTCTTCTGATACAATATCTTGTGACCAATAATGTAGCTTAACTCTCTTTGCTTCTTTCTCTTGTAAGGACAAAGGTAATAACAACCATGGGTTCAAAAAATATATTATAAACAATTAAACATAAATAGAATAAAAATAATGAAACAGGCTACAGTGCTAGGCTTGAAGTTTTTCTTGCTGAATGTCCTTTAGCAATTTATATCATTTATGTTAACCTTACCAGCTTCATGTATAAAATGGGGATCTTACAAAATTATATTCTCATTATTCAAAAGATTGTTGTGGGATTCAAACAGTACAATATTTTTAAGCATGCAATAAACTGGAAATCATGAAATACATATTAGTTTAAAATGGTTTCTTGAATTACAGTAGTTCCTTTTGTAAGAGAGAGACTTTTTACAATGAATACATATTATATATGACGTCTAATTCCAGTAATACATGAAAACAATTGTGGGAAAGTTAAGGAGTTGTATTAACTCTTTCAGAACCAAAGTTTATTCACTCTAAGTGCCTAAGTTACTCCCGAGAATGATTCATGTAGAGGAATAATTCAAACTAACTGATCTTGGTGTCTATCCATAAAATGTAGCATGCTGGAAAATCCCATCTTTATCTTACTATGTGATTCAGAGTAAGAAAATTCTTAACTCAGGCATGGTTTGAATTACATAGAATATTGAAATGTAGTTTCTGAGGGCTTTAAAAATATGTACGTTAGTTTATAAAATGCCTTTGAAATACAGACTATTATATTTATTCAAAAGTCCAAGAATGGGACAGGAAAAAGCAAATGTGTTGAAGATGCTTCTGAGTGAGAGAGATATGTTAAAATGATGACAAGGGACTTTAAGCTGTACTGGAAAGAAAATGAAAATAATAAATAATAATAATGGCAAACACTACTATTACTAGCTCTTTAAAGCCTCATGTACAGGAGTGATAGTAGTCCTTTTCCAAATATATTGTAAGGTTTCCTTCATATTTTGTTGATCTGCATTTTGTGTCATTTTTTCTATAGATACGTTTTAAGTTTGTATTTACCTATATGTATGCATCTTTTTCTTTATGGTTCCTGGCCTTCATGTCATATGTAAAATGGCTTTTCCTATTCCAACACTGTTTAAAAAATTCACTAGTATGACTTTAAAGTACTTTGACACCTTACTTTGTAATTATGTACATTTCTGGTGCATCTGGAAATTGTATTAGCATAAGAAAAGAAGAAAAAGTATGTCCTATATACATATTCCCATACAACTAGTTACTTGACCCAATAGCATTTACTATTATAAATAATCCAGCTCCTCTGCCACCAATTTAAATGGTTGCTTTTGTCATAAAGTACATTCCCATATATATTTATATATTTCTTTCTAGACTCACTGCAATTTCCATTGATCTTCCAAGTCTTATTTCAGAACTAAATTGTTTGAATCATTATAACCATATGATGATATCCTCCATGACATGCAATCTCCACTTGACTTCTATAACATCAAAGACTCCTGATTCCTTCTCTGTTCTGGTTTCTGCTTTGCTGTTCCTGGTGTAAGTTCACTTACTCTGCCCGCCCCTGAAATCTGGGTGCTTCTCCAAATTCAGTCAATCGTTTTCTTTTCAGTCCCAATATTCTCAAGGTACACTCTTATCTAGTCTCAAAGCTTCAACACTGTCAAATATTACTGACAAGTCCAAAATGCTAATCTCTGGCTCAAAATTCTTTATTATGGGTTAGCCACATTCCCTAAGTGTCTACCCATATAGATGCCTGGAAGTCACTTCAAATTCAAAATGTCAAATATTCATTATCTCTGTTGTCTCATTCACCCTAAACTTTCTCTTCTTCCTGTGTCTTCTATGCCTTCTCACGACTTATCAAGAAGTAGGCCAGGCCAGTGTTGGCTCATGCCTATAATCCCAGCACTTTGGGAGGCCGAGGTGGGCAGATCACGAGGTCAGGAGTTCGAGACCAGCCTGGCCAACATGATGAAACCCCATCTCTACCAAAAATACAAAACTTAGCTGGATGTGGTGGTGGGCTCCTGTAATCCCAGCTACTCGGGAGGCCAAGGCAGGAGAATCGCTTGAACCCAGGAGATGGAGGTTGCAGTGGGCCAGGATTGTGCCACTGCACTCCAGCCTGGGCCACAGAGTGAGACTCTGTCTCAAGAAAGAAAACATAAAAAATAATAAATAAATAAATAAATAAATAAATAGAAATAGGCCAGGCCAGAAATCTGGGATTAACCCTCATCATTCTCTTGCCCTCACTGTGTTTTTAGTTAGTTAATAAGTTTGTTATGCCAATGTCAACTCTCCTATTGATGCCACATTTAAGGATGCCATCATCTTTCCCACAGGCCATGTCAGCTGCCTTCCTCTTTTTCAATAACTCCCCACATTATCCAACAGATCTCCCTGAAATGCAAATCTGATCATTTAATTTCATCTACATGAACTTTTTCCCGTCTCACAGTATTAAGATAATCCAACTTTAATATAGCATTTAGAAGCCCCTGCATGGCCTGGCCCTTGCATACCTCATCTCTTGCCACTGCTCCCCCTTCTACTAATATTCTGGAAATGCTGAGCTTCTTTATGTTCCTCAAATATGTCCTGTCTCTGCTGCCCACAAGTCTTTGTCTAAGCTTCTCCATCTGCTTGGAACACTTTTGCTTCTTTCTCCCTGGCCAACTGCTGCTCATCAATCTGACATCAGCTGAGGCTTGATTTCCTCCCAAAAATATTTCTCAAATTTTCCTATGGGGTCTTGGTACCAGTGTATGTTCTCCCATAACAACCTGTGCCGCTCCGTTTTAACACTGTTTTGGAAATGCCAGCCTGTGTCTTTCATATAAGGAATTAAATTGCAAAACATATCAAAACAATACATGTTGCCTGATATATTCACCACTGTATTCCTAGTACCCAGGAGAATGCCTGGGCATTCACAGTGTTCTCTGAATATTTATAGAAGAAAGGGACAAAAGAGTGAGAGAGGAATGTAATACATTATTTACATGATGTCTTTCTTTTTCTTTCACCCACATAATACACAAATGGGCAGTCATATACACATTCATAAAATTATCATATACAAATTTTGTACACAAAATATTGAAAGCAAATACTGTAAAATGTGAGTGACTTTTGTGGATATTGAGATTGTAGGCAGTTTTTATTTTTTTCTTTTAGTGTCTCTATACCATGTAAGACAAAAAAAATCAGAAAATCTATAACCAGAAAAGTTATTCAAATTAGACTCATAATACTCTTAATTGCAACTCTTAAAATACATTTTAGAATATAAATATTTTGGTTTTTGTGTTGTATTTATCTTCTAGGGTTTCTCTAATGTAGTACCACAAACTCGTGGCCTAATACAACAGAAATTTATTCTTTTACAGTTCTGGAGTCTACTCCAAAAGCAAGGCATCAGCAGACCTGCACTTCCCCTGAGACTCTGCATGGAATCCTGCCTTGCCCCTTACTGGCTTCTGATGGTGGCCATTGATCTTCGGCATTCCTTTGCTTTTGCAGCTGCAGCACTTCCTCTCTACCTCAGTTGTCACATGGTATTCTTCCTGTGAGTCTCTTTTTTCTTTTCTTATAAGGATATCAGTCCTATTGCATTAAGGATTATCCTACTCCAGAATGACCTTTTCTTAATTTAACTAATTACCTCTGAAAGGATCCAAGTTCCAAATAAGGTCACATTCTCAGGTAATAGAGGTTAGGACTTCAATATGTCTTTTGGTAGGAGACACAATTCAACTCATAGCCTATGTAAAAAGCACGCCTTTTTGTCTAACTCTTATATATGAAATGACAAATAATGAGCTCATCCAGACTGTACTTTTAAATGTCTCACAAAACAAACTGACCTATGACACAAATGTAATTATCCACCAATCTTTAAGATGTGAAGTAATATAGTCTTCCCATTGCTTTTTTTTTAATATTTTGCTACTGAGGAAATTATTTTTTTTGTTTTTCTATTTATTATATTTGTGTGAGTTAGGGATTGAGTTTGGCTGCAAGGAGGTGATTTGACTACAACAGCATTAGCATAAAAGGATATATGTTTCTTACATTATAAGCAAACATAGCATAGGCAATTACTAGTACTGGTTCAGCATCTCAAGCATGTCAGGGCTAAGGATTTGTGATTTTGGGGGCCTTTGACTCAGCATCTTATAATATATGCTCCACAGCCATAATTTTATTCTAAGCAGTTAAAAAAAGAAAGGCATTAAAAAAAAAAAAGTCAGTGGATCATGCCCCCTTTTTAAAAGTGTTTTCCTCAAGCCTCATTCCCAAGATAACCCATTAAGATAACCCAGAAAGGACCTGGGAGAGAAGACATACCATATCTCTTTCCTTCCCCCATCCAACCCATCAAGCACAGAATATTTTTTTTTAATTTCAATAGTTTTGGGGGTACAGGTGGTTTTAGATTACATGGATGAGTTGTTTAGTGGTGAATTCTGAGATTTTCGTGCACTGTCACTTGAGCAGTGTACTCTGGTAGTATTTTATCCCTTACCCACTTCTCATCCCCCAACCTCACGTTGCCAAAGTTCATTATATCACTGTGTATATGTCTGCAT
The DNA here is from genome assembly GCF_000001405.40 of Homo sapiens. Lineage (NCBI taxonomy): Eukaryota > Metazoa > Chordata > Mammalia > Primates > Hominidae > Homo > Homo sapiens. The sequence goes on along the minus strand of NC_000003.12, from coordinate 106,578,333 downwards.
CCTCATAGCTTACCTCGCACTTCTAAGTTAGAACATATGGTATTTGGTTTTCCATTTCTGAGTTACTTCACTTAGAATATTGGTCACTAACTCCATCCAAATTGCTGCAAAAGACATGATTTTGCTCCTTTTATGTCTGAGTAGTATTCCACGGTGTGCATGTATGTGTGTGTGTGTACTTACATTTCTTCCCTGCTGTATAAACCTCTAATTTTAGTCAGTTGAGGAGATGGATTTAAGAATGATGTCTCATTTCCTTGGCTGAAGGAAACACACATACACACTACACATACACACACGTATGTATATATGTATAATTTTCTTTACCCATTTGATTGATGGGCATTTGGGCTGGTTCAATATTTTTGCAATTGTGAATTGTGCTGCTATAAACATGCATGTGCAAGGGTATTTTTCATATAATGACTTCTTTTCCTCTAGGAAGATACCCGGTAGTGGGATTGCTGGATCAAATAGTAGATCTACTTTTAGTTCTTTTAGGAATCTCCATACTGTTTTTTATCCTGGTTGTACTAGTTTACATTCCCACCAGCAGTGTAAAAGTGTTCCCTTTTCACCACATGCATGCCAACATCTATTTTTTTTTTATTTTTTAGTTATGGCCATCCTTGTAGGAGTAAGGTATCTCATGGTGGTTTTAGTTTTAAGCACAGAAATTTATGAACATTCACTTAATCTCAGTGGTGAAGGACTGTGTGATTGTTTGAGGGACATAATCATCTAATTAGGTCAAGTTAATTTTTCCAAATATAAATTAAATATACATCAGTAGCGTTGGCTATTGAAACAAAAACTTTAAGTGTAGCCTGCACAAATGGTTCTCAAACACTGATCTACTGTCTGACTCTAGGTTCTAACAATGTTTTTACAGTCATAGAAAAATAAGAATAATTAGAACCATCTGGAAAGTTTGTCACTAGGTTAAATTGATTGAACTTACAAAGCTGTCTCATTTTCAGACTGGGTCTTTTTTACCTTTTGGGGGTTATTAAAATATCATTTCTTATATAAAATGTTGGTAATAATGAATGACAACCCTTTTGTTTTACTGTGTGTGAATGTTCTTGCTCAGAAAGAAAAGAAAAAAATTCTGTTTAATCTTTCAAAAATGTTGTTTCATGAAATCCAGCAATATGAGAACCATAAACAATATTTCACCTTGGTATGTTTTTGGTACATATTTGGTATAAATGACTGTACGTATTTGTGTTTCGGTACTAATATTGTTACCTGAATGCCAGGAGCTTTGTCTAGGTCCTGCTGCTTGCAGCACAGGAAGTCAATCACTGAGCCAGGGAGGAGAGCTTTATACAGGTGTTGCAGACAAGGAAATGAGGTGTGATTCTTAAATCCATCTCTTCAACTGACTAAAACTAGAGATTTATACAGCAGGGAAGAAATGTAAGTACCTGTGGGAAAAGAGGCATTAGGGAGGGATAAGGAAGAGGAGTTGGTAAACAGGAATCACGATAGGTCTGGAATCTCATTGTCCTGATGTAGTGATCTGGTGAATTTCAGTTTCTTGATACTATCTAGGGGGCCTGAGGGTTGGTTTCCTGAGGAAAGAACTCAGGTAAGACAAATATAAATTTCAAGCTTTCAGACCAGTGGGGTTAATTTCTGTGTTTATCCAAAAAACCCAAAAACCCAACCCCCAACAAAAACAAAACAAAACAAAAAACAAAAACAGTAAACATCAGTTATATGGGACAGTTGGACCAGTTTCAATATTACCTTGTCTTTAGACCAAAAAAAAGTTTAAATACATAAAATTGGCTTTTTAAAATTCGCTTTTTATCCTGGCATCAGCTTGGATGCTTTCTAAATAGGATGACATTTAGAAAACGGGGATATGGTGAAGACTAAAATACAGAGGACAGACTGCAGATGCTCCTATACTTATGATGGGGCTATAGCCTGATAAACTTATCATAAGTTAAACATATCATAAGTTAAAAGTGTGTTTACTACCCTGATAAAGCCATCACGAAGTTGAAAAATCTTAAGTGGGACCATCATTAAGTCCAGATGTCTCTTGATTTACCATGGGGTTATGTCCAATATATCGAACATAAATTTGAAAAAATAAGTCAAACCATTACTAATCAAGAACCATCTGGATTTTGGCTAGATACACGACTAAGCACTTTATATATATTGGCATTTTTCCTTATTGGCTCTCATAGAAGTACATACACATGTTACTAACCCACAAATGAAAGATCTGATATTCATAGAGTTTGAGTGACTTGTCAAAGTCTCAAAGAGGGTAAAAGGAAAGTAAGGATTCAAAACAAGCTCAGTCTTCTTCAACAGGCTATGATTTGAATGTATTAGGAGAAAACATGCTACTCCTTTAACTCTATGAGTAAAGCTATGCCTTTATTCAATATAACATGATTTTGTTTTTTGAGCAAAACAATTCCTACGCCCATGTAAGTAATATTTTCCCCTGCAGAGGTGGTCTTCTGCAGAGACCAGTCTGTCCCACAATTTTTTTTTCTAAATGGCTTATGAATAATACAATAAATATATTACTAATATTTAGTGTTGTTATAGTTGACTTTTTAAGTGAAATATAAAATTATATTAGCTTTACTAAATTTTTTAGGACATGACCCAAAATTTAGATCCTCCAGAGCTCAAGCAGTCAAAATAACTGGAAGAACACAGATCTATGATGATGAAAGGGACGGATGCTGGATTTCATTTGGGGAGGAGCAACAGGAACAGTTGAGAAGTTGGCCTACTGGGGTCTTCATGACCACCCAAAGTGAGCAGTTACTACCAGCCCAAGCAGATCATTAACATGTAGGAACATAGGCCTATTTCCCCCAGAACTTTAGATTTTTAAGAGAAGCTTGTTATGTTGAATTTTATATGCAAGCTCCCCATTTTCAAAGGTTGAAAAAGACCTAAAATTTAAACACTTTACAGCTCAACAGTGGGTGGTGGGTACAAAAGTCTCGGGGGAAGGTCAGTCCAGGAGCTAACAGCTTGTAACATATGAGTCAGGTATTTTTTCACATGCATGTGTAATGAACATGATGTTGAACACAAAATGATTAACCAGTAACATCCTAAGCTATTGCTATAAAACAGATAAACTGCTTGGCAAGCATTAAATTTCAGTGTGACTGAAAACAAAGAGAGACTTTTTTTCCCAGAAGATTCTTAAGCTAGTCTCATTGAGGAAGCATACAGATAAAGCAGACAAGTTTCTTTATTAGAGAAACTGAGTTGTAATATAACTCTACCATTTTCAGACTTAAAAAGCACTTAATAAACATAATAAAATATCACTTTAGGGTGATTAGGGCCCTGGGGCACAAAAACGGCATTCAGAACCCGCTAGAATAGTGGGAGCAGTAGGAAGTACTCCACACAGAAGATGGCTCTGATTTGACAAACTGTCCTTAGGAAATTGATTAAGGCTCATAAACAGTTTCTTACTGAGGAATTACAGGAGGCAGCATCAGAATCCACTATAAGTGGTCAAAACTTCATTCTGTCTTTTTAGCACTTCCAAAGTACGAGAAAATGTTATAATTCCCCGTTGATAAGAGTGATAGACTGAGAAAGCCCTAACCTCAGAGAGCTTACATTCCCCAGCATACAAGGACATGAATGAATGAATGAATGAATGAATGAATAAAATGATCTAGATAGTGACAAATATTCTAAGGAAAATAAAAGAGGAAATCAGAGAGTACCAGAGCAAATGTCTGAGGATACACTGCAAATGGTGGTTGGGGGAAGCCTCAGGAAGCTGACTTCAATGTTGAGGAGTGGAGAGTTCTGACAAGAAATGCAATTGCAAATGGTTTAAAATGGGGATCATCTTAAAGAAATACCACTTGGTGTGGATCCCTTTACAGAATGTTGTTACAGTCTTCTGCAACGCATATTTTGTTCTTGTTTAAAGATGCTATGAAATAACAAACACCTACAGTGTTAGAATCATGATATAGTAGCTCAGAGAGGGCAGAAGCTGTTAAGTATCCTTTCACTCTCCCACAATACCTGCCAGGTCCTTGCAGTTAAAATGCTGTTAATTTCTCTGAATACACTTTTCCCATCTGTTAAGTCTCTACTCATTTTAAAAAGAATGATATAGGATGCAGTGTTTTTTGTTTCTCTCTCTTCCTCTCTCATATTTTCTTTAATGGAAATCCAATTAGGTAGAAATCAATTTATTCACAATAAAAATGGAATGTCTAAAAAAGGAGTAATAAAAACATATAGAATTGATTTATTGTGCTCAGTTTGAAGAAAAAAATCCCTCAGACTGGTTGAATTTAACAAAGTTAATTTAAGCAAGAAAAGTTTCAAGAACTGGGCACCACCTAAGACCCACGATGATTCAGAAATGCCCCCCACCTCCTATGTGTTAAGCTATATTTATAACCAGAAAACAGAAAATGAGAGACAGCGATTACCTGATTGGTACAGTCAGGCATTTGCCTTATTTGGGCATAATTTGGCAGCTTTCCTGGAACTCAGCTGCTTGATTAAGAAGGTGTATACTTCTAGGTTAAGTTGCAACTTGTTTACACATCAAGCACATCAAGCTAGGGTACAGTTCACTATGTACAGGGCCACTTTGGGCCAAAGTTAATTTAGTAAGTGCTTTTATCTAATAAACTCTTCATTGCTCTCCTTTTAATGGTGGAGAAACAGATTGTACAACAGGGTCCAGCTGTAGCGAACGTGTTTACAAGAAAACCCAGTAGCCTCAGAGGAGGCTGCACTTTGTAGGGAAGGAAGGGAACATCTGAGCATGGGAGAACTGTGAAGCTAAGGTTAGGTAGCCCTGCCATCTTCCCATGTCATCAAATTTAGCCCCATCTGAGAAAGATTCCTTAATACATACCACACAGTGATGGCTAATACTGTCAACTTGATTGTATTGAAGGATGCAAAGTATTGATCCTGGATGTGTCTGTGAGGGTGTTGCCAAAGGAGATTAACATTCGCATCAGTGGGCTGGGAAAGGCAGACCCACACTTAATCTGGGTGGGCACCATCTAAACAGCTGCCAGTGCAGCAGCTAGAATATAAAGCAGGCAGCAAAACTTGAAAAGACTAGACTGGCCTAGCCTCCCATCCTACATCTTTCTCCCATGCTGGATGCTTCCTGCCTTTGAACATCGGACTCCAAGTTCTTCAGTTTTGGGACTCAGACTGGCTCTCCTTACTCCTCAGCTTGCAGATAGCCTATTGTGGAACCTTGTGATTCTGTGAGTTAATACTTAATAAACTACTCTATATATATATAGGTGTATATATATGTGTGTGTATGTGTGTATATATATATATATATATATATATATATACATCCTATTAGTTCTGTTCCTCTAGAGAACCCTGACTAATACACACACTACACAGGTAAAATAGAAGAGTACCTTCCTTCCCAGCCCTAATAGTTCATGTTTTCTGGACAGACCCTAATACTCACCCAGAGTTGCATGAGGTTTCAAATGAGAATTTTGAGGCTGACCAGTTTTATACTGAGCCTTTATCCAACATTTCCCTGTCCAGTGTGGTTAACTATAATATATAACTGGAATTTTCTCTACCAATTTCTAAACCTCTTTGGAAACAGAATCCATGTCACCTTTGGATTCTCTACATAGGGATTTTTGGTTGTATTTCAGAAGATGGTATGTTTCAATCTGAACTAGTTCTAGGTAAAATTGTAAAGTACACAATTTAATTTCTCTAATCTCTTAGCCTCCTGGTTGTGGATAATTTCTTCTTTTTTTCTGGCTATTTTTAGATTCCCAGTGTCCTCGTATTTTCTCCTTCAACCCGACGTTTAAAAAAAGGGGGGTATCCCTGTAAAAAATCCTGATAAATTCATTTACACTAGATAAGAATGTACTGTTTCTTTAAAATGTTCCTCTCACTCTCTTCTAAGGAGATTTTGCATTATACCTAGTCCAAGAGGGATTCCAGTGGAAGGAAAACAATGCCTAGGAGACTTCAATCTATAGCTCCCAGGTGCTTGTGTATACATGAAAAGTAACATTTATAGATTTGTTTGTATAACACCGCTGTATTAGTTTATTTTATGTTGCTCTAACAGAATACCTGAGACTGGGTATTTTATAAAGAAAAGAAATGTATTGTAGCAACCAGCTAGGTGAATACAAATTCAATCTACACATCCCTACTATTTAAAGTTTTCCAATCTGAGAAAGCCTTGGGTGCCTTGAGTTATAGAAAATGTTTACATACACTCACCCCAGCACGCCTTTTCTCTTTCACCTTACTGCTCCTCAATAGCACTACCTCAGTCTATTCGTCCTTCCTTCCTTTTTTATCCCCTTCCCTCCTTCTTTCCTGCCTTCCTGTCTACCTTCCTGCCTGCCTTCTTTTCTTCCTTTTTGCCCCCTTTCTCCCTCCCTTCCCTTTTCCCTCCAGCCTTTATTGAGCATCTGCTGTTCTGGACACTGCACCAGCCTCTGAGAGTACTATATAGAACAAGGTGCAGATCCTGCCTTCAGCAGCTGCCAGGCTAAGAGTAAATGGTGAGAAGTAAGCACATAATAGGAAACTAAGAAAAGAATTTGTAACAGAAACACAAAGAGAACATTTTCCATGAGAAAGTAGATAACTCTGGAAGAAGCAGCAAGATTTTCTAAATAAGTTTCTATTAGAGACAGCTTTTGATAGATGGCTAGAAATTACTATTTGGAAAGTAAGGGGATAACATTTTGGATAACAGGAGAAGTGTTTGTAAACAAATATCAGCTGTAGTAAGAAGAGGAAAACATGTGGCCCGTGTGATCAGAGGTAGAGTGTACTAGATCAGGGTAGGAGGCGAAGCAGGAAAATTAAAATGAGGACATGTACTTAACCTTGTTATCCACAATAGCTGCACCCTCTCCAATATGTCAATTGCAAATAGCCCATTTTCTGAACACCACTGTCAGTCCTGAGATAGACCTGCATGGTCTCCTGGTTTTCTATATATTTCACTGGTTTGTCCTCCTTAGTCTCTTAGACATGTAAATGTTGAGATTCCCGAAGCTTAGTCCATCAACCCTCCTCCCCTGCCATTTTCTGTTCTCTATTGAGAGAAGCTCCTTTATGAAGTACCTAAGAGCAATCACACAAGAGCCAAACCTTAGTTTAGTTTCCAACCTTTTGCCTTATAAAATGAGTGTGCATCTCCCATGGTTTACTTGTTGGTAAAATAAAGATAGTGATAAGACCTATCAGAAAAGCTTGTTGGAGTCTTAAGTAGTCTAAGATATGTGTCCCAAAGAGACTCAAAAGAGAAGGCCTAACTGCTTATCCTTAAATAGACCTGCTCACAAGTTTGGCCCTGAGTTGGCATCTGGGAACTTGGATTTGGGGAGTATTTCCACACAACTAACTGATTAGAGTAGCTCACCATAACTATTTATGAAAACAATATGGTTTGTGTTGACCACCTCTTTTACTTCTGAAATTCTGGAATATTTGTGCGTACCAGACAGAGGCTGCCTGTGTGATTAGCCTCCAATAAAAACCCAGGGATCTGAGTCTCTAACTAGCTTACCTGGTTGGCAACACTTCCTGTGTTATCCCATCTAATTGCTGGGGGTTTAAGCATATTCTACATCACTCCACTGGGAAAGGATGCTGTGTCTGGTTTCCCTCAGAAAATGCCCCATGTGCCATTTCCCTTTGTTGATTTTGCTTTCCATACTTTTCCTGTAATGAATCATAGCCATGAAAGTGATTACGTACTGAGTTATTTCAGCCCTAGCAAATCATCAAACCCAGAGGTGGTCTTGGGACCTCCAAACATAACATGGAAAAAGCCTTTAGGTGAGTGTTAGGCATATCATAACCACAAAATAAAATTTGCTATTTTTATTATAGACCCTCTTTTTTTAAGATGAGGCTCTTCTGGCTTTAAGTATTACCTGCATTCTGATGATTATCAGATATGTTTCAGCAGTTGAACCCTTTTTTAGAACTACAAATTCATATGTCAAATTCCACATATAGGATCTGCATGTGAGTTTCTAATGGGCATCTCAAACTGAAGATGCACAAAAGAGAACTCTGGATTTCTGCTTCAAGGAAAAATCTCCACCACTGTCTGTCACAGAGCTGTTGAAATCACTACCATCACCCTGCTGTGTGGAGTCTCCAGTGTTTCCCCACTTTTGTTCACACTTCGTGTATAATCCATGAATAAACCTTATTTATCTCCAAAGATATGTCACAAACATTAAACACTGTTCATCGAATCACTATTACCTCTCTCCAACCTGTGGTAGGAGCACCCTATCTTCTTGCCTTTATTTTTACCTCCACCAGTCTATCTTTTACAGACTAGCCAGTATTGTCTCTTTAAATTAAAAGCAGAACATCTCTTCATTACTTTAATCCCCTTGGTGTTTCTCCATTTTAATTTAAATATGATCCAAACTTTATCCCATAACCTATAAGGACTATATGATTGACCCTTGCTCACCTCCCTGTGCATCTTTTGGCTTGCTAAAGTGTCCTTTCTCTTCCCCCAACATGACAAGCTGGCTTCCACTTAGCTCAAGACTGGGAGCGCTCTCTGCCTGGATCACATTGACTCCAGGTTTCTCATGGCTGCCCACTCTCATAAGTCAGGTCACTTTCAGACCACCTGACTTAAAGTAACCACTGCCCTCTTACTTTATAGCCAATGTTTTATTTCAATCAACTATCACGAACAAATTTTTGCTTTATTTATTTTCTATTTTTTATATTTTTTTCAAAGTTATTAAAATCAGTCTCCGACCTGCTTCCTCTTTCTTAGCGCTATTGTTCAGAAGCAATTATTTTGATTGAACAATTTTGGCTCTTCATTTTTTATTAGAATTAGCTTTTTAACTCTAAATAGTATAGATGTTTCTTCATTTATCAAATTTAGTCATATATGTTTACTTCTCACTTTGAAAGATAGAGCTATGGTTCCTCGCATCACTCTTAATTTACCCTCATCCTTTCCTCCCAAAGCTGATTATTGTGTAATATTACTCCTTCTACTGTTTAAAAATTGAACAATATATAACTTTTTCAATGCCTTTTCCCATCAACTTGACATAATATCTCTAGAGTTCTCTGATGTAAAAGGAAGATATTGATGTCTCTTTCCTTCTCTCCACGAACCACATCTAAATTTCTGTCATATGAAAACCCATTCTTTTAATTGGGTTATTTTTTACTGTTGAATTTTAGAATTTTAGAAATCATTTGTATATTTTAGATAAAAATCCTTTACCGATATGTATATTGCAAATATTTTTCTCTCAGTCTGTGGCTTCTCTTTTTATTCTCTTTCTCAGAACAAAAATTATTGATTCTTATGAAATCTAGCTTATCAATTTTTTCTTTCATGGATCATGCCTTCGGTGTATCTAAAAAGTCATCACCAAAAACTGAGTTACCTAGATTTTATCCTGTTATCTTTTAGAAGTTTTATAGTTTTGTATTTTACATTTAGGTCTGTGATTCATTTTGGTTTACACTTTTTTGGATGTTGTAAAGTCTGTATTTAGATTGATTTGTTTTCTTTTTGCATGTAGATGTCCAGTTATTACAGGATCATTTGTTGAAAAGATGATTTTTTCTACATTATATTGACTTTACTTTTTTGTAAAAGATCAGCTGGCTATATTTATGTGGGTCTATTGCTGGGCTCCCTAGTCTGTTTTATTGGTATATATACACCTTTTGTCAATATCGCAGTGTTCAATTTTCACAACTGATATGATTGATGTGTCATAACATCATATTGTACCCCATAAATATATACAACTATTATTTGTCAATTAAAAGTAAAATAAAATTTTAAAAGGTGCTTGGTAGAGTTTACCAGTGAACCCATCTGGGCCTGGTGATATGTATTTTGGAAGGTTATTAATCATTGATTTAATTTCTTTAATATATGTACCCATTCAGATTGCTTATTTCTTCTTATGTGAATCTTGGCAGATAGTGTCTTTCTAGGTATTGGTCAGTTTCATCAAGGCTATAAAATTCTTGGGCATAGAGTACTTTATATTGTACCTCGATTATCCTTTTCATGTCTATGGGATGTGTATTGATGTACCTCTTTTCATTTGTTTGTTTTTTTGTTTTACCATATTGCCTGGGCTGGCCTTGAACTCCTGGGCTCAAGTGATCCTCCTGCCTCCACCTCCCTAAGTGTTGGAATGACAGGCATAAGCCACTGTGCCTGGCCTCATTTCTGAGACCTATTGATTTGTTAATATTTTCAAAAAATCAGCTCTTGGTTTCATTAATTTTCTCTCTTGATTTCTTGCTTATAATTTCATTAATTTCTGTTCTAGTTTTTATAATTTATTTCCTTCTGCTTATGTTGCATTTAATTTGCACCCCTTTTTCTAGTTTCCTAAGGTGGAAGCTTAGATGACTGATTTCAGATCTTTCTTTTTTTCTAATATATACATTTAATAGTATAAATTTCCCTCTAAGCACTGCTCTCATTGTATCCCACAAATTTTTATGTTTGTTTTCATTTTTATTTAGTTAAAATATTTGTGAAATTCTTTTATAATTTCTTCTTTGAACGATGTGTTATTTAAAAGTACATTGTTTAATCTCTAAATATTTTGGGATTTTCCAGCTATCTTTCTGTTATTGATTTCTAGCTTACTTCCACTGTGGTCTGAGAGCAGATATTGTATAATCTATAGTCTTCAGAATTTACTAAGGTGTGTTTTGTGGTCTATCTTGGTAAAAGTTCCTCTGGCTTCTTTGAGAATTTGTTTGTATCTTTTATTTTCTATAGTTTGAAAATAATATGTCTAGATGTAGACTTTCTGCCATTTACCCTTCTTGGTATTTTGTGAACTTTCTGCATCTGCGGTTTGGTGCTTGACATTAATTTGAGGAAATGCTCATTCATTACTGTTGCAAATATTTCTTCAATTCCTTTCTCTCTTTCTTCTTCTTCTGCTAATCCCTTCATTCATATGTCACATCTTTTGTAGCTGTCCCACAATTCTTCAATATTCCATTTTTGTAAGTCCGTTTTCTCTTAGCTTTTCAGTTTTGTAGTTTTGTTTGAGATATTCTCAAGCTCAGAAAATCTTTCCTTTGTCTTGTTCAGTCTATTAACAAGCCTATAAAAGGCATTTTTGATCTCTAGTGTTTCCTTTTGGTTCTTTCTTAGAATTTTCGTCTCTCTGCTTAAATTGCTTATCTGTTTTTACATACGGTCTAGTTTAATCATTAGGACTCTTTGCATATTAATCATATTTGTTTTAAATTTCTAGTCCGGTAATTCCAACATTCCTGGCATATCTGAGTCTCATTGTGATGATTGCTGTGTCTCTTCAAACTGTGTTTTGGCCTTTTAGTATATCTTGTAATGTTTTCTTAAAAGCCAGCCATATGTACTGTGCCAAAGAGGCTGCTATAAACAATCTTTTAATAATGTAGAGGTAAGGTACGGGAAGAGGAAGTGTTCTACAGTCCTATGATTAACTATCTATCTTTTAGTGAGCTTGTGCCTCTGGACTAAACTTTATACATGCTTCCCAGTCTACTTCTCCCCACCCCTTGGGACAGGATGGCTAAAGTGGGCTGCAGCTGACTATTTCTCTTCCTCCCAGGTCAGTTTGGCTCTGATAAAGTTACAGCAGGTTAAACTCCAGTAAAATAGTTTTTCCTGAGGGTGGACTTTGTTAAGGGAACCGAATGGTCTGATTTATTTCAAAATAGTTCCCTTGCTTCTCCACCTGCCAGCAACACAAGGGGATTTTTCTCTAGTATTCACTGTGAGGACCTGGTAGAACACCAGGAGGCAACATTCACAAAAGTGTGGGGCTCTCCCTATGACTGTGTTCCCCCGGAGATTTTAACCCTCAGAGTCGGCCCCATCAAGCCTCCAGCAACTTGTCAATTACAGTTTAGGTTTCACTATCCTGACACTTGTTCCTGCTCACTGATTTCTGTTGCAGTAATTCGTGATCTCTGTGATTGCCTGTTGATCTCTCCAATTTTGGGTACAGCAATTTGCCCTGTGACCTCCCTTCTCATATAGATCTAAGAAGAGTTCTTGATTTTTCATTTTTTTAATCTTTTTACTTGTTAAGAAAAAGTGGTGACTTTCAAGCTTCTTAGATGCCAGTCCACCCCCAGCCCCAAAAAAGAAAGTCCATATTTTCTCTTATGTTACCAGGATTTATAAGTTTAATATTCTCTTCTGAAGCCATATTTCATTTTTCCGTGTGGACATATTTATATTTTAAAAGCAACTATGGTGGAATTAAGGAAAATGGTTTCAGCTTCTTTTTGTCCTTTCTCTTCTCTTTATGAAAACATGCTTCCTGTTTTTTATTTGATCGCTTATTCATACTAAAATGAAAATGACTGATTTAGTCTATTATAAGCATGAAGAACAAAGATATATTGCCTTAATTTCAGGCTCAAATCTTACTTTGGGACCACAATCACTTTTCCAACATTTTTGTATTTATGTTGTTTTAGAGTTAAGATTTTTTGAACTTTAGAAAATGTATACAGTAAACATATTCTATGTTACCTAACAATCCCAGCAGGGCTTGGGGCAGAGCCATGTAATCAAAAATATTTCTTCAATAAAGTATATAATCACACTAAGTGGCATAGATCAAGACTAGAAATCACTTCACATCACTGCAATCCAGATTTTCTTGCCCAGAAGGTACCCAATTTACCAAATTATTTTCAGTTTTCAGAATATTTTAAATGTTAGACCTGTAGATATAGGTTATGCAATAATATATGATAATTTCCAATTTGTAAGCATAACTTCCATTCAGTGTCTTGACTACTTGTTTTTACTCTTACATAGCATGAATCTGTATTTTCCACTTTCATATAATACCATTGTACACCCATTACCTTTGTGAAAGCTAGTTAATTGCATAATGAGTAATATTTATTTTTATGTATATCTACATTTTATTGTTTAAATTTACTTTTATTATGGTAACATCACAAAAATAAATTTATATGGTGGGTTAACTGAGTTGACTGAGAATTAGTAAATTTGTTGAAGTTCAAATTAGGTGCATTAAGTTTACATGTCTTTTTCACATTTATTATCTCCAGTTGAATTTGAATGGAAGAAAACCACTTTGGAATCATATACAATGCCACTGCTTCGTTACGTTTCTGGAAAATTATAGGCAGCATATTTTATGATTAAACACTCAGGATCTAGAGTCAGAAACTATTTAATTTCATTTCTGCTTCTTAGATAAACTTTGGGAAAAATAAATCCTTCAAGACTCAGTTCTTTTATTGGTTAAAAAAAAGAGAGATGATGATACTAATTACATGTTCTGGGTTACTGTAAGTTAAAATTGAGGCAAGGCTTATAAAGTGTTCAGCATAGTTTCTAACAGGGGCTACAATACATTTTAGTATTACTGTTAAAAACAGAATATCCTCTTAGGCTAGTTCATAAAAAAACAAGCAAACAGCATAGATATTTATGAAACCATCTGGGTATATTTATGTATAGAGTTGACTGCATTTGTTCCAAAACATTAGCATGTTTTTGATTTCTAAATCTTCTTAGTCAACTAAATCAAAACTTGGGTTTTAATGTGAATGAATATCATTATCCTAATATTCTAAACATATTCTAGTATTTTATGAGGTAGCATAATGAAAGAATGGGATAAATAGATCAGTTCACTTTTGTTGCATATACACCATCCCAAAAATTAGTGGCTCCAAAAAAAAAAAAGCTCTCATCAGTTTAGTGGAAAATGGAAAATCTCAAATATTTTTGTAAACTGAATTTTATAATATTTACACTTTCTTAATTATATAGACGAATACATCATAACAAAGACACTAGAGATTAATATTCAATATTCATTCTACATTATAATTATTTTTAAATTAAAACGCTTTCCTTTCTTACTTGGAATTGGAAAATTTCTAAATGACGGCGCAGCATAGCTAGGGATTGCCTGAGAGTAAAATTAAAATAGAGCAAATGGAAGTGTTCTTCTTTATTCACTTAGCTGCATCTCTGAGCCTAGTTTGTCTATGAATCATTTATCTTTGATATCAGCATATTGTCATTTCCTATATAAACAAGAAAACTCTCTCTTTGATATGAGATTAATGCTGCGTTGATATTCATAGGGGTAGATTCACTGGGGAAAGGGGTTTGCAAAGCTATTGAATAAATGCCTGGTATATTTTCTGGCGTAGATACACCAAATTTGATGCTGAAAATTGGTCTTGAGTAATGCTTGTGACTCTAGACTTAACATGTGTATTTAAGACTGTGTAAAGGCACAGAGAAAAATACATTGGTTGCATTTCCTATTCTACTGCAGTTTATCTCTCAGTTTTAGTAAGAAAGAGGGTTTGCAGTTTTAACCTTCTATGGACAAACTCCAGAAAATAATGCATACAGAAAGTGTTATATTTTCATCTCCTTTTGCCATGCACTTGTTCCTCACAATCATTCCTGCTGACCCTTTACCTGAGTTAACACTTCTCATGTATATCCTGTTTATTTTTTATTTTTTTAAAATCAGTCTCTCTCTCCTTCTTTCCCTCCTTCCCCCTTCCCTCCCTCCCTTCCTTCCTGCCTTCCTTTTTTTTGTTTTTTTTTGTTTGTTTGTTTTTTTGCTTGCTTTCTTCTATTTACTATTTTTGGAGGGATGATTACTTCTTAAATATTTATTGGATATTGTGCTTCATTAAAATATAACTACCTTGGGTACTATATTATAAGGCAGGGTTCTCTAGAGAAACAGAACATATATTAAAAAGCTTATATATATAAACTTTTAAAATATATGCTTATTTATATATAAAGAGAAAGAGAGAGAGAGAGAGAGCATGTGTGCACAAAATATACAGAGCTATTGCCCTAGTTAAAGTCCAATAGCCAGAAACTGCTGTAAAGACAAGAGCCAATTATTCAATTTGAAGGATGTCAGACAGGAGAACTTTCTCTCTAACTCAAAGGAGAGTCAGCCATTTTGTTTTATTCAGACCTTCACTGATTGAATATGGCCCATCCACATTATGGAGAGCTTTTCTCTCCATAATGTGTATTGATTTAAATGTTAATTTAAATTTAATGTTAATTGATTTAAATGTTAATTTTATCCAAAAACACCCTCACAAAAACACCCAGAATACTGTTTGACCAAATATTTCATCACCCCATGGCATACTCAAGTTGATATATAAAATTAATCATCAAAGATATCATTCATTTAAAGACCTTCCCCTGCCTTCTGGTTTTTTTTTTTGGCTTTTCTTTTGTTTTGTTTTGTTTTGAGACGGAGTCTTGCTCTGTTGCCCAGGCTGGAGTGCAATGGCGCGATCTTGGCTCACCGCAACCTCCACATCCTGGGTTCATGCGATTCTCTTGCCTCAACCTCCCAAGTAGCTGGGATTACAGACATGTGCCACCACACCCGGCTAATTTTGTATTTTTGGTAGAGATGGGGTTTCTCCATGTTGGTCAGGCTGGTCTCGAGCTCCACCTTAGGTGATCCGCCTACCTTGGCCTCCCAAAGTGCTGGGATTACAGGCATAAGCCACTGAGCCAGACTGATTAACAATTCCTTTGGGACCACTACAGGATGTGATGTAACTTAAAGGTTAAGAATTAAGGCTCTGGAGTAGGAGTTTCTCTCTCTCTCTCTGACACTTATTGGTAGTAACATGGGAAAATTATTTAACATAGCTATCTCTCCATTTTCTTGACTGTGTAATGGAGTAAAGCTGTGTGACCTCAGGCTTAAAATTAACTTTACTGAGGTTGTTTTATCAAGAAAATAATAATAATAAAACTATTGTCTGTGGTAGTTCTAAAATTTAATTATAATTATATATATAGAGAGAGATTCATAATTTTAACTCTCAAAATTAATTGAATTTATATTTTATTATTTGGTACAAAAATGTCTCATGTTGAGACCGTCCCCAAATAGCTCACAAGGGGATAGCTATAACGCCCTTACCTTGACACAAATTCAATCTGTAGCCCATTTTTGACTCCCATGTGTATTTTCTTTTAATACAAAATTATTTTCAATTTGGAATTTAAGAGAATTGTTTGAGCTTAAGTGTAATAATCTACAATGTATTCTATAGCATGTAATCTAAATTATTCCTAGGGTTTATTCTTCTGATTTGAAATCTCCCTACTATAACTTGCTCATTAGTTAGGTTAGGCTAGTGTTTTAGTCTAGGGCCAATCACAAGACAGATAAAAACTGCATAATAATTTGATGAGGGAAGGTTTAATATAGCAATTATTGAACTATAATAGGGGAGTAACATTAAAGATGTAAAGAGAAATCTGAAGGGCTTTGTACAGCTGGATGAGACTACATAAGAAAGGACAACTTAGAACTGCCCTACCACCACCACCTCCAGCAACTGGGATTCAGACCTCAATGGAAAAGGTACAGTTTTAATCTACTGACTTGTAGGAAAGTTCACCTACCAGTCAGAGTAGGTAAGCCAAGTTAACCTATAGGCCAGTGCTGGTTCAAAGTTGTAATGAAAGCAGGAAACAGCCTTAGGTGCAGTCGAATGGAGACTGGGTGGCAGGCAGGCATAAAGGAATCAAGTGTTAGGAGCCCAGTAGCTGGCAATGGCATGAGGCCTGCTGGTGTGTAAGGTTGGGAAGCCTGCAGGAAACAACTCTTCCAACACAGTCTTCCTGAAGTTGTGTTGTGCTGGGAGTGCTCAGAGAGATACTGGAATGGAGCTGGTGATAGTCACCAGGCCCCAACCTGGGCTGCTGCAAAGTTGCTGAGGGACAGTACATTCTGGGTGTGCAGCTGGGGTAGGATGACCCTGGATGTGAACACACACATTCTCTCTCTCTCTGTCTCTCTGTCTCTCTCTCTCTCTCTTCACTAGTGGAGCACTCCAGAAACAGGAAGAGCGGTCCCTTTCTCACGTAATATCTCTCTCCGCCCTCTATTGATGAAAAATAACATAATTCTCGCTGTTAAGAAGAAACGTTTAGAGTCTAAGTCATTATGTCAGAGCCAGCACCAGGGAGTAAATTTGGAGCTGAGAGGAGATAAATTGGTAATGGGCACAATCTTTTCCTCTGGTTACTCAGTTTCCATATGCATTCTCCTATACACACACACTTGAACTACTACAAAACAATACAACAATGCCAAACGATCCAACTAGACTACACTGTAGTAAGAAAGAAATACCTATCTTTTATTGGCTCATCAAAAATATTATTTATTTCTTCACGAAGAACAGGAGGTTCTGCAGCACAATTATCTTTCAAGAATTAAGAACTTAGGCTGTTTCCTTTTAGAACTTTGTGACCTATGTGTACTTGGTTTCTAATTGTGAAGAAAGAGGGAGGATAGAAAATGCTCATTCTTAACCGCTTCGGTAACAAGTGACACATCCTACATTCCTTCTTTTGATGTTCCATTGCAAAAGTTTATTGTGTGACCCCACCTAGAAGCTTTGTGGCTAGGAAAACATAAGGAGTATGTAGATACTTGATGAGCACCAGTGGTTTTTACCACAATTTATCAAGTACAGAAACATAAATTACTTTTGATGCCTCAGAACACACAATAAATTGATCAAGTGAAATAAAACTGAGAACCACGATCATATAGTATGCATAGTTCTGGTGTTTTCACAACATGCCAAATATGTTATTTAGCACAAGACAACAGTGCTGTTTCTGACTTCTACTTGGGGATTTTAGTTCCCTTGAGCTGTTATTTATTGCAAAACATTTCTCATGGGTGTGTCATTGAATGGAGGCTTAGTCACTTGTTTTCAAGAAAAAAGAAATAGGATTTGCCCTTCTCTGTTGAAATAATATGACAACAGAAAATGATTTGTAACTGGCAAAAACAAAAAATAATGAATTTAAAATTAGCTGTGTGTCAAAGCAATACATGTTTACTTCAAACTGTTTTTGAGTAAAAATATTTGCAAGCAGAGAGCTACTAATAAGAATGAAATTAGAACAAAATATTTTTTAAATGCCTGTATATTGTGACTTTGCTGTGCAGGTATCCCCAGAGTGCACCTCACTACTGACTTTGCCCTGCGGATTCATTAAGTCACACTTTATAAGCAGATGGCTGCTCAGTAGACTTATGCTTAGTTACAGAAGTACATGCTTTAACACTTCTGGATTATCCATTTTAATGTAGGATAGCATCTGAAAACATTTATCTAAGAAATATAAAAATCAATAAAATAAATGTATCTATAAAAATAACAAAAAATATAAACTAAAACTACATGCACTGCTTATAGGGATGGCAAAATAATGGGTGACTTTTTTTCCTCTTGCTTGCACTTTTATGTATTTTCAAAATGTTTTTTGTGTATTTTACAATAAACATTTTGTTTTATAATTGAAACAATAATAAATGCTTATGTCAATGTGTGCTTTATGTTTTATGAATGTATTAAACATTTGAAAAATCTGACCGATATTAGAAGAGTTATGCCCTGGTACTGATTGCATGGTACAAGGGATTTTACTGAAACCAATAATACTGTTTTGGATGATTTAAAAAAACAATTGCAAATTTACTAACGAATGTATTACATGAATACCTAATACCATTAAAGCATACATTCAGATTAATTTGGCCTGTATGTATGTGAATAGGGCAACGATTTTAAAATATTGTCTTATTTTATCATAAGCACTGAATTATTCTCTACTTATTTATGCCATTTTTATTTTTATTCTTCAGTGAAGTTTTATAATATTGTCTCAGATTTTTCCTTTACTAACTTTTGTATTTATTCCAAGAATCCTCATAGTATTTAGTGGTCATTATGAATGGAATGCTTTTTGAAAAGTATAATGTTTTCAAGTTAGTTGTTTCTGATATTAAAAAGTGCTATTCAGTTTTGAAGATTGGGTTTATATCATGCAAACCTGCTGAACTCTCTTTTCATTTTCCATATTTGTCTATAAATTCTCTTGAATTCTTTTTGAAGACACACATATTTGAGATATAATGATAATTTGGGTTCTTTCCTTCTGATCTTTATCTAACTCATCTTGTCTCATTGTGTTACCCAGCCCTTCTAGTAAAATGTTGAAGTAGTACTCATTATGTTTCTCTCGTCTCTTATTTTCATGGGAATACTTTTATAGTTTGATCTTTGACTATAGAACTTTTGTGGGGTCTTGGTCTGTATTTTTTACCGCATAAGGTATTTACATTCTATTCCTACTTTGCTAAGAGTTTTTATCACATCCAAATTTTATATTTGATTCTTTTTTGCATTTTTAATATGTTCATATGATTTCCCTATTTTAATCTCTGTAAACTCAATTTGGTTGTGCTATGTTCTTTTTGAAATATATGGCTGGATTTGGTTTACTAATTACTTATGACATTTTATTCCTAAGTGAAATTGGTCTAGAATCACCCAATCCCATAGTACTTTATCTAGCTTTGATGTAAAGCTTGTGCTAACATAAAAGAATTTTGAATCTTACAGGTTTTTTCTTTACTTAGGAATAGTTGCATCTGAGGTCATCCGTTCTTTCAGGATTTGGCAAACTCACTTTTAAAATGACCTGGAAATACAGTTTATTATGTATGTATATTTTTGAGTATATTTATAACAGCTATTTTCTAATCAAGAGATTGTCAAATTAGGGCCTAAAAGCCTAAAAACCAAATCTAGCCCTCTACAAGGTTTTGCTATAAAGTTTAGTGGGAAAAAGCCACACTCATTTTTTAAATATTGTCTATGGCTGTTTCCATACTACAGTAGCAAAGTTGAGTAGTTGGGGCAGAGACTATGGCCTGTAAGAGTAAAGTGTTTAGTATCTGGCTCTTTATAGGACAAAATTTTCAATCGTTGGTCTAATCAACTATTGAATGGAATTTGAAAATTATTTTGCTCTATAAAATTTTCTTATTAATTGGAATTTCAAAGACTTTGGCATAATGTTTATTTTATTATTTTATGATACAGAACGTGCAGGGTCTCTCTACTAATTCCTCATATTATCCTAAATATTTTTATAAACAATTTTGCTTATTCTTTCTTCCATGAATTACTTAGAAGTTTAGTTTGTTTATTTTATAATTCAGAAGCTTAGGAGATATTTAAAACCTGGCTGCCGGGCGTGGTGGCTCACGCCTTTAATCCCAGCACTTTGGGAGGCCGAGGCAGGCTGATCACGAGGTTAGGAGATCGAGACCATCCTGGCTAACACGGTGAAACTCCATCTCTACTAAAAATGCAAAAAATTAGCCAGGTGTAGTGGCGAGCGCCTGTAGTCCCAGCTACTTGGGAGGCTGAGGCAGGAGAATGGCGTGAACCTGGGAGGCAGAGCTTGCAGTGAGCCGAGATCTTGCCACTGCACTCCAGCCTGGGTGACAGAGCGATACTCAGTCTCAAAAACAAAAACAAACAAACAAAAAAACCTGGCAATTGAGCAAATTTCTTCCCATAAAAGATTAATTATTTGATATTTTCTGTCATTAAAATCAAAACTAATAGGTATAGTAAAAAAGACGGCATGGAACTGAACTAGAACAAATTAACTCTTCTGAATCCTAGTTTTATTCTATGTGTTGTAAGAATTACAACAGTTACCCAGTTGGCTGTTTTGACTATAATAGTGTTGTGTTTTACCTCTAACTTGGTTTAGGAGAAATCTCAAACTGACTCATTAAGTCTCACTCAAGTACAAATGTAGGAGCCTTCCTCAAGTCCAGAAACCAAAGACGTAAAGGTCTACTTTGATGGTGAAAAGTGGCAGTGAAATTAGGCAGGGATCTATCAGGCAAAGTATAGGAAAACAACTCTCTGAATAGCCAGCTGGTATGACATTGACTACCATCAAAGTGAAGTCCTCAGTGAAAGCCACTAGAAATGAAAATTTTTGTATTTCTTAGGTCCTGTTGGTGAGTGTGCTTATTCAGATGGAGCCTAGACAGTTTGTGAACACTGATTCTGCTCTTATGGAGCTTCTTGGTACTGGCACTGAATGGTGTGCCTTAAAGTGAAGGTAAGTGATCCCTGGATGGTGACTTTTCTCCTTTCCACAAGCTTCCTATAAGTCTGGTCTCGTCCTAATCCAGACCAATCTCCATTTTTCTCTTTATATCCCTTGCATCTTTTCTCATCTCCTCACCTCCTTTAGAGTCCCTCAATGGGCAGATTATCTCCTTCATCATTTTTACCTAATATAGTTATATTGCATAAGTTTTCACACGTCCTTGAGCCCTATGTTTGAAATCCAAAAGTCAAGAATCATCCTTTGTTTCTGTGATCTTGTGTGTCATCCTTTCTATGAGTAGCGAACATTCAAATGACTGGCTCAATGAGGAGGTGGCCAGAAGATAGAAAGGAATACTGTGAATAGAAACCTCACCAATTAAAATTTCAGAAGTATCTTACTCTGTGAGGATTAAAAGAGGCTATGAATAGACAGTGCTTACCACATACCAGGTCTCAATGTAACATCAATTTTCTACTCTAAAGGATAATGTTTTGCAGAGTTGGTACTAAGATCACAACTTTTGTTTACACCTTGCCTGATGCCTTTGACTTCACACTTTACATCCCCAATTCAACATCTGCTTATTTGTTACCTGCCTAAGTCACATTTTTAACTCAATTCCATTTGCCAGCTAATCTTCAATTTGTAAGCCAAAGAACATGAATGAACGCACTTATGCATGAGCAAGATGTGGTAAGGATAATGTAGACACTGATTAATTATTCTCACATTAAGTGGGAAATTTCTCTGAGTATACTGTCTGTGATTATACTAATCAGTAAGGCCACGTTTATTTGAGGAACTGCATTCAGTGGGGAAAACTTGATTCCAGAAAACAAATGGACTGTGTAGACAATAAATTTAGAATTAGAGATTTGGCAGCATAATTTTAAAATTATCACAAATATATAAACCAATAAGATATGGTTTCCATAGGGTGTACACTTATCAGTGTGAATAAATATACACTTTTCCTGTGATAATATTTATGACATGATCGTAGAAGCTGACTGTAATAGTCTTAGACATCTAAAGCATTTCCCCTATAGGAGGCAGTTATTCTGATTCTTAGGGTCTAGGGTTGCTAGTTACCTCAAACAAAAACAAAGGAAATGATACAATTTCACTGAACATCTGTAAAATGTCATGATAGCAGCAGTCTCTTTATAGGTTTGTTTTGAACAAATGAAAATTTGAGAACCTGGGTATATTAAGTGGCGCATTTATTTGAGGTATTTAGGCCATTTATATTTAGAGAAATTATTGATACGATTGCGTTTACATTTATCATCTTGTTTTTTGTTTTTTTTTAAATTTACTCTACTATGTTTTCTTCCCATTATTCTCTTTTTCTCCTTCTTTTTAATTATTCAGTATTTTTAGTAATTCCTTTCTTTGTAAGCTATTAGCTATAACTTTCTGTTTTGCTGTGTTAGTGGTTGGTTTGGGTTTGTATCACACACCTTTAAATTGTCATAGTCTACTTCACATGATATTATACCACTTCGCATATAGAATGAGAACCTTACAACAGTATACTTGTATGTCTCCCCTCCTAGGCTTTATTGTCATATATTTTACTTTTACACATTGTAAACTCTACAATATATTGTATTCTTGCTTTTAATAGTCAGTTATCTTTTTAAAGTGGTTTAAATAATAAAGACATTTTTTAAATATTTACTCAGTTATTTTTGGTACTCTTAATCCCTTTGTGTAGACCCAGATATACATTTATTATTTCCCTTCAATGTAAAGAATTTTATTTAATGTTTCTGAGCATGTTCATCTGCTTCTGATGAATACTTTCCATTTTTAATGTATGAAAATGTCCTTAGTTCTTCATTTTGAAAAGTATGTTTACTCAATGTAAGAATTCTAGGTTGACAGATTTTTGCTTTCAGTACTTTAAAAGTGTTATTTCACCTTCTTCTTGTTTATATTGTTTCTGATGGAAATCTACAGTTATTCTTATTTTTCCCTCTGGACATGATTCTTTTTCTGTAACTGCTTTTATGATTTTTCTCTTATAATTTGTTTTGTACAATTTGATTATGATGTGCCTTGGCATAATTTTCTTCTTGTTTCTTGTGTTTTGAGTTTATTAGCTATTTAGATATGTGGACATATACTTTTCCTCAAATTTGGAAAACATTTAGCTTTTCTTTAAATAATGTATCTGATCTCTCTCTCTCCCGTCCTCGTGGACTCCAACTGCAGGTGTTAGGCTGTTGCAGTTGTCTCACAGCCCACTGCTGTTCTGTTTATTTCTTTTAATTATTTTTTCTTCCTATGTTTCATTTTGGATAATTGCTCTTGCCTACATATTTTATTTCTGTAATCTTTTTTCCTGGAATGTCTAATCAGCCATTTATCTTAGTCAAAGTATTTTTCATCTCAGACATTTTCATTTTAATCTCTAAAATTTTGATTTGGGTTTTTTTGTATCTCACTTGTGTCTACTTAACTTTTTTAATGTGTGAAATATAGAATGAATACTTCTCTCAATATTTTTGTCTTTAATTCAGTTCTACTATTTCTATCAATTCTGGGTTATTTTAAACTTGGGTTATTTTAAATTCTGGTGTTTTTTCCATATTTTGGGTCACATTTTTCTGCTTTTTGCATGTGTGACAATTTTTAACTGGATGCCAATTATTATGAATTTTGCCTTCTTGGGTGCTAGATATTCTTGTATTTCTTTTTTCTTTCTTTTCTCGCTCTGTCGCCCAGGCTGGAATGCAGTAGCGTCATCTCGGCTCACTGCAAGCTCCGCCTCCCGGGTTCACGCCATTCTCCTGCCTCAGCCTCCCGAGGAGCTGGGACTACAGGTGCCTGCCACCACGCCCGGCTAATTTTTTGTGTTTTTAGTAGAGACGGGGTTTCACCGTGTTAGCCAGCATGGTCTCGATCTCCTGACCTCGTGATCCGCCCTCCTGGGCCTCCCAAAGTGCTGGGATTACAGATATTTTTGTATTTCTATAAATATGCCTCAGCTTTTTTTCTGGACTTCAGCTGAGTTACTTACAAAAAGTTTAACCTGCTTTGGTCTTGCTTTTAAGATTTGTTAGGCAAGACCAAGCACTCACAGGGGATCTTCTGCATGTTGCTGGAGTTTCTTTGTGCAGTTCCCTCATCTTCAGTAATCTACTTTTGAACTTTAGCCAACTTGGTGACTCCACACTTCTAGCTCAGTCTCTTCAACTCAGGCCGCATGCTGGGTCCTGCCTCAGTTTTCTTCCCTGCACTACAGCCTAGAAACTACATGCAGCAAGCTCAGCCAATAGTATGGCTTGACTCATTTGTTCACCATCTCTCAGGGATCACTGTCCTATGTTGCCTGATGATGTTCAATGCCTTGAAAAACGTATAGTTTATATGGCAATATAGGACAGTGATCCCTGAGAGATGGCAAACAAATGAGTCAAGCCATATTGTTTCATACATATTATATATGTGCATGTATGAATATATATAGGTATATATTTAAATTTTAGAAGTTGTTTCAGTGGAAGACTTATTCCATTTTGGTCAAAATAAGAATCTCATGTAAAATTTCTGATTTTTTAAAATAGAAATATTTTAGGTTGAAACTCAGTTGTCATATGTATTTGGAGAAATGCTATCAACTTGTATACATATCTTGTAGTAAAAGTTATCATAGCTAACTTTAGCATGAGGCTATAGGTAAAGAAATATTTATCAATTATCAAATATTAAATATTGAAGTAGGTTTATTAAATAATGTTAATGAAATGAGAAGGAAGAAAATAAAAATAACATTTGGAATATTTTTGGAGTCAGTAAGCATGACATTCTCATTCTCTTATGTTACATTTTAGCTACAATTATAAAATTTATACTTAGGTCTTCTTTGCATTTAGAAAAATATCCAATGCAATCTAGCCTAAAGAATGGAAGAATTAAAATTTTCATTTGGGCTATTATTTCAATTTGTTAAAACAACATTGATTAAACACTGTTTTTAATATTATTTTAATGCATAAAAACAAAAATAAAGAATAAGACTATATAAGTTGACATTGAGAAAATAAATATAACTGCTAGTTATTGCCTGATTATATTTCATTTATAAAAACAGAGGTTAAGTTAATATACATTTGAGGAACACAGTTGCTATTGACCATGGCATGTAGTCTCTGCAGGATCTGGGGACTAATCAAAGGAAGAATTGCCATCAGGTAAATAGTGAAGACATTCCAGTTGGAAGTAGATGTTAGTGAGCATGATACTTTATTTACACTACTACCACAGCCCCTGGAATGGTAGTCTGACCAAGAATATGGTGCTCAAAGTATCCTTATAATAAATTTTGCTGAATAAATATTTCTCAATTTACAAATGGACTAAACACACTGTAAGGTAAATGGATGTGCTTTGGTCAAGAATAGGTGGAGGCAGACATCCAGGCCTGCATGACTCAGCAAGTTAGGAGTGCAGGTGCACAACTCCTCTTGTTATATAACTTGTTTGTGTAAGCTCATACTTGTCTCGAAGCCACTATTTTTTGTAAAAGGTATAACTGCCCTCCTGACACTGTACATGCGGCACATGCCCTGAGAGAGAAAGAAATGTGCTGACCCTATAAAAGACAGCTTGCTTCTTGCAGATGGACAGGAGGGAGCCAGGAACTAGCAAGTGTGCCGGAGAGTGCAGCTGTATGTGTGGGAGTCATAGGGGCCTCAGAGCTTGCTGCTAAGAGTGGCTGCAACCAGAGCAGACAGCCAAGACAAAGGCAGATAGTGTAAGAGAGCTGCTGAATAAAACCACATTTCACCTGCCCATGGCCCCGCTTGAGTGTTATTTCATCTGTCCTCCACTCATCCACCCACTCCCCTCAGACCTTAGCATGGTCTGGAACCTGACACTTGGCATGACATACACAAAAACAGTTGATTTGTAAAGTTGTATTACAAATTTTAAAAAGTTTATTAAGCAAATAATTAAATTAATAATTTGTTCAATATTAACCTCAGAAAACTAACGAAATTACATATGTGTGTATATACACACATAGACACACACTTAATACATGGAGTCAATGGAAGTATTTTAAATATATATGTAGCTACCATTCATAATACTATTTATACAGGAAAGTACATTCTGATAAGTAACTTAGGACACCAGTATTTTATTCTTCATAAAATTATTAGAGTATTGAGGACCATTATAATTATTGGGAGTGGGGAAGATAATTACATGAGAGATAGCCACTTTTGGGGAATTACTCACTTATTACACAACCACATATTTTAAAGAAATATGTAGTTGCATACAAGAAAATTTCTCTGTTAGTTGCCTATTCTCAGAAAGTTCCAAATTGAAGAATAAAACAGAAGCACAACTCAGAGATGCCAGACAAGAAACATGCTCCTCTCCCTCGTACCCTTTATTTTCTTACGGGTATGTGTGCGTTGGGGGGAATCTTTGCTTACAGGTTGTTTTAATATGAAGACATGGATTGGGAAAGGATGTTTGATTAAATCACAAGAAAGAATGGTGACAATGATTATTATCACTGGCTTGGACATTTAAATGTGAATAGGTAGATATTTTGTTCTTTTTCCAAAGGTATTACATTATTTGAAACACCAAATAAAACCTAATATTTGTAGAGTTCATTACAGTTTTAAGTCACTTTCACATACGGTGTCTCATTTGATCTTTAAAACCCATTGCTTGAGAAATGGAAAAGTTGATTATCATATGCATTCTATTACTCATAAATAACATAAACTATATGCACTGAAAGTTCACTTAACTGCTAAGTGTTCAAAGTATCAGCCATATAAAATTGCAGCAATTTCAGTTTATTTTGTCATGGATACCCAATTGCTTAACATATTAAAAATCACTGAGCCTTAAAGGCCTATTTAACTTTTTAGAGCTTGTACGATATATTATTATCTGTAGTTTATTTATTATGCCTTATTTATTTAACAAAATGCATAGCAGTGAAGCCTTTTAAGGCCTCCTTCAAAATGAAAGAGTTCCACAAACTCCAGTATAAAATAAGATTATGGATTATAATGGCAATAATAGCTTCTGCTTCTTCCTCTCTACCTTAGTTACTAAAAACTTCCACTTTCAAGGCAGTTGAAGAATTGGTTTACTATTTTTTTTAATATATTTTTTCATACAGTGTTTCTTAGAATTCATTTGGTATTGCATTCTCTCGATTCCTTTACTTTTCCCCTTATTTTCTGTATGTTTGCATTCAATTTCAGTAGATATTATTTATCGTTATTCCAGTACTCTTTAAGGAGGATTTGTCACCTACATGCCTTTTTCCTGTCTATGACAAATAAAAACACCTCAATAAACCTGAGCTCATATCCTGACCTAACAGCTGAAAAATTAATGCCATGGTTCTGGCTATTTAATCGAATGTCTAGTTTATATACATAAATTCTGAATAAATAAAATGATACAAAGGGACAAGCTTAATGATATTAAATCTAAGACTTCTAATTAATGGACAAGTTACGGAGAAATGCTATGGTATGTAAGTTGCTCTCTTTTGTGTAAAAAGGTTATCCGGCCAGGCAAGCCTCTTAGACTAAGCATATTAAAGTCAACGAAGAGGAAAGCATAAGCATTTTAAAAATACAACTTAAAAAAATGGCCGGGGGGGATATTTTGTACTTCTGAGTGGTGCAGTGAAATGATTGGAAGATTCTGCAGTTTCCAGAGGCAAGAGGTAAAACTACCCCCGACCCCAGCCCAGTTAAATTCTACCCCAACCTGCCAAAGCAAGGTGTGTGGTAATTGCTCCACTGAGAACAGAGCAGGGATGAATCCGCTTCTGATGTGTTTTATTGCGATTTGCATTTTTCTGCATTGTAATTAACAGGCTTTAATAAAACATTGATTTACATGCTGTTACAAAGTGCATTATCTTTCAGGCTTTAAATTAAACGTTTCTGCAGCCTGTGTGTTGGTGGGAGTGGGGGTAGGGGTGGGGTATAGATTAGCTTGATTCTCTGCCCTAGGGAAAAAGTATTTTCTTCCCCATCTGGCCCCTCTAAATGCAAAGCCTTGGTTGAACTTTTGTGTGTGTGTGTGTGTGTGTGTATGTGTGTGTGTGTGTGTGTGTAGTTTGTCACTCTCTAATTTCTGTTAAATTTCATAAGACCTGACAAATTTGCATTTACCGAGCTGTTAGATAATGTTTAGCACTTTTCATTTTCAAAGTGCTTTATAAATATTAACTAATCAAAGCTGCCAGCACACCCATGAGGCAAGGAAGTGTTGGTTTGTTGTTCTTTTTATCTTTGTTTACCTTATGTGAAATTTGTGAGATTACTGAATCTCTCTGTCTCTCTGTGTGTGTAGATACACACACACACACATATGTGTAAATATATATACACATAAATTTAACACAGTGTTAGGTAGCTTTTTTTTTACTAATAGTAAGGATTGTTCCTTTTCTGGAATATGAACATGGAGGCCTGTGACTTGTTACTTACCAAGTATAGCCTTGAATGTATGAACTACTGTATTCTTTTCTCCCTTAGACTGTAACCTTCATTAGTTAGAATAAGGGCCATTGTTTATACTTATTTTTTTCTCTTGCATCATAGCTAACCTAATACTGTTTCCATTTATTCATTGACATATTTCAAAAACATTTAATGAGTGCTTCTCTATTCTAGGCATTGTATAAAGCACTGTGAAAACAGCTAATGAGTGCCTAAATTCTTCTCTTTGGGAATATACTTGCTGGGTTGAAGTAGAAATTGGATTGCATACTGAGAATGGTGTGAGAATATCAGGTAAAGGAACAATTTAGTGAATATGGATAGGGTTAAGAGAACTAACCAGCAGACCCAGGGTCTAGCAATAATGGGAAGATATCACTTACCTCAAAAACTAGAGGGATAAGAGCTAGAGCTATGAAATAGAATTTACCCAAGAGATGTGTTGTTAGAACAATGAAATCTTTCCCAGGACTGTGACCAAGTAGGAAAGGAGTGGAGAGAAGAAGTACTCCTAACTCTCCATTCTCCCCACCTTTTATATCCTGTCAAAGCAAACTATAAGCAAAAGATAAAGGGAGCCTGGGTGATTTGGCTCATAGAGGTCACAGGGCCCATTGTCAGGTGTGAAAGGGTTGTGAATTGTAGACGCTGACAGAATACCCAGCAAAAGAGTCTTACAAGGAAAGCATACATTTATAAATTTGTGTATATATGGAAAAAAACACAAATACATTTCTCTGTGTACACCAGAGGTGGAGAACATTATTCTGTCTGTAGGTATTAGTGAAGGCATTAAGGAGAATGTGAGCTTTGTTCAAGAGATCTATTATACCCATGATGACTATAATTAACAACAATGTATTATATACTGAAAAATTGCTAAGAGAGCAGATTTTAAGTGTTCTTATAACAAATAAATGAAAAGTATTTGAGGTAATTCATATGTTAATTAGCTTGATTTAGCCATTCCACAATATATACATATTTCAAAACTGTACACCATGAATATATACAATTTTAATTTGTCAATTAAAAAACAAACGCAAAGAGAATGTGAACTTTAACCTAAACCTTGGAAGTTGATATTTTGATTGAATTACTTGGATTGTGAAGTCTCGGCATTGTTTTACTGGTTTGGAAAGGGATAACAAGAGAACAACTGCCCTTTAACTTGAGATGTCAATTGACTACACTTTCAGATGTGTACATCACTGAAGATTGACAATGACCCACATAGGTTCTATTCTGACCATTTATTGAGCATTTTTCTTTTAAAGAAAACCATTAATAGTACAATTAAAATTAATCCCTTGGAATATTTTTTTAACCATTGCATTTTTTTCTTTTCCTTAAATATTCTAGCATAATTTGGATAAATTTAATTATGAAAGCGAGTGTATTGTAACAGCTTCCCCTGGAATATTATCTAAGATCCAACATCTAAAATTGGTGCTTCCCTATCCCATTTCCATTTAATTTAATTAGTAAAGCCCACTGGATAAATAATTGCTAGTTTTATTTATTCAACTAAGAAATTTCTGTAAAAAAATTGACTTCTCTATAGTTTTCAACCAAACATCACTTTGAAATCCATCCAGATCTTAATTATAGTACAAGTTCTTCTTGCCTACTGTGCAAATGAAGCTTATTTATGAAGGCAGGGGAATTGAAATAAAGAGTTTAATACACATGGAGTTAGCTAAATGGAAGGCCAGAGTTGTATTACTACTCAAATCAGCCTCCCTGAAAATTTGCAGGCTAGGGTTTCTCAAGTATAGGTAGTAGGCAGGCAGTGGGGTAGGGAATGGGTGCTACTGATTGGTTGGAGACAATATCATAGGGGTGTGGAAAATGGTGCTCCTGTACTGAGTCTGCTTCTGGATGGGGCCATCTGGTCATCAGAAATGCCTGAAAAGACATCTCAAAAGGACAATCTTAGATTTTACAATAATGATGTTATTTAGAGGGAAGTTGCAAATCTTGTGACCTCTGAAATAATGGCTGGTAATCATTTAACTATGAATTCAAGCACCTCACATCCTCCTAACCTGATGACATTTTGTTAATTTTACAGAGGCAGTTTAGATTTTGAGAAGAGCTATTATCATTTAAATAATAAATTGAATTTCTCCCAAAGTTAGTATGCACCACACCCAGGAACCACTGAAGGCAGTTTGGTGGTTAAAGACATGATAGAGTTGGTTAGGTCAGGTCTCTTTTACTGTCATAATTTTTTTCACTGTTTTTGAAAAACAATTGCAAAGGCAGTTTTAGTAGTCTCTTTTGGGGTTCATCATGCCTTATTCTTAAGGTGAGAGCTACAGAGATGGAAAAAGACTGACAGCTGTTCTAACTTCTTCCTGCTGACAGAGGCTGCAGTTGGGATAGGGGTTGTCTCCAAGGTAAGAAGAGTGAAACCACTTTGCAGCTGTCTACATGTATTCATGGGTGCCAGGTTGGTGGTTAACAGAAGACTACAAGATAATGAGTCCTAATATAAGGAATAAAATCCTAGTTTCAGAAGTCCTTGTAGAATTGTTCTGAAGCCCTTGTAATCCAGGTATATAACCCCAAGAACCAATCAGACATGGCGTCACTAGTAGAGAGAGATTTGGGGCACAGGTTCTGAGAAAGACAAATTGGAATAAAAAGGAAAGAGTAAATTTAAATGTACTGTGTCGTATCTTTTTAATTAGTTTTTAGTCCTGAGAATAAATCAGTTCAAACAGCCATGTCTCATTCTAGGTAGTGGCATTGCAGATGGGCTGGGCCTCTATATGTGATGAAGGCAAATTTTTAATAAGGGGCATTTCTATGGAAACAGAAGAAAACCAAAGCTTAATTTTGGGTGCAATCTATCCACATGTTAGAGGCAAAGCATCTCTAGTTACAGAGGAGGAGGGCAGTAGCAATAGACACATTTTTTCTTGCTTGTGTTACAAGGAATAAGCTTCATCTTGCAGGACCTCAGAAAAAAGGTAGTATCAGTTTCATTGAGTCTAAATCAGAAAAATGGAAGAAAAAGTTGAAAGCATTAGTTTGGGGACTTGTAGGCAAGAAAGATTCAGGATTCAGTTTGAATTGCAGAAAGTAATAAAGATGCAAAAATAATGGACAAGGCTAGAATCTAACAACAGATGTACTATAATTTTTTCTTCCGAAACATAATTTTTTCTCCGGTCCCCATTTTTCATAGAGACAAATCATAGTTAGACAAACTTATTTGCAAAATAAGTCTTAGTCTTATTATATTTCACCTGATTATTTGCATAAAGTGGAGCAAGAATAATTATTTGCCATATAAGCTCTTTGTAAATTGGCTTTGTTGGAACTTTTTTCATAAGCAATCTTAGATTAGACCTTTTAAAGCCTCGAGCCCACCCACAGATTTATCTGTGCTTGTAAGTCCTCTATGAATTGGGTAGATGACTCTCTTCTCAAGGTCCCAAGGTAACGTGGGGTTCATAGACCTGTCAGAAAGTGACATTCTTTACTTACCACAGGTACAGGGACTGCATAGACAACATATAATAGTAGTTTTCCAAAGGAGCATTTTGGTTGTTGTTCTTTTTTTTTTTTTTAACTTCTTTTTCTAGAGCCTTTAGATAAAACCAAGTGCTTTAATTGGCTCCGTAAGTCAACTTTGATTCATTAAAACTGTCTTTTTATATCTGAAAGTATGTCATTCTGGTCAAAATCTGGTAAAAACAACCAGTGTCTCCAATGGTGTCCTGTTACAAGAGAAAATAAATCCTTATTGAACTTATGCAAATAACTAGACTGCCATAAATTAAGTATACTTACAAATAGTTTTCAAATTCTGGAGAAAGCAGGTAGAAAAAAAGAAATATGCTCCAAATTTTGCTCATAGGCATATACTTTACCCAATTGTTAAAAGCAGTAAATAGATCAAAAGAAAAAGGGTTTCTAGACTCTGCAAAATAAAAGAATTAGGAATGTTTTAAACAAAATAATAATGAAAAGATTATTTGGCTCTTTTATTAGTTCAGTCTATATAATTAACTCCTGTTATGCCTGATATTGGGCTGCTCAATATCAGCTTTCCACGTCATGAACATATCAGCTTTCCACATCATGAACACATCAGCTTTCCATGAGTCCTAGAAGTTCCTTTTTTCTCCTCTATTTCAATGACAAAATTTCCTAAGTTATCAGAGATCTGCATTCAACAGATACCTACAGAGTCTTATGGCTTGATTATAAACCACCTTTTGAAAGTGATCAAAACAGGACAGTTATCTGTGGATGACAAAAGTCTTAAGGCAATGACAGTTAAAGCCATAATCAACAAGGAAATCTGGTCATCTCTGTGACACACAAAAATTTAACATAACAATCATAATTATTACTAACATATTCCTAACATATAGGAATCTTATACTATTTTGGAACAAATACTAACAACACATTTATATGATATAACCCAAAGAAAGTTAAACATCATTTTATATTTGATGATGTATCCTATATGGTTTTAATATTCCAAATAAACCAAATATGTCTCTTCTGGACTTCAGGGAACCTAATACTTAAATGACGAATGAGGTCAAAAAAGGACTGAATTTAGAATTTAATTTTGGAAATTTGTCATATATCAAAGGTTTAAAATACTTGATATCACAATACAGAATCCAAAGTCAATGTAAGTTAAATTATTAGCCAAAATGATACTTTAAAACTTTTCAAAGGTTTTTAAAGCAAAAACCTTTACTCATAGATAAAGGACAGACAGCTTTCCCAACAAGACCCAGTAAAGACAGCAGGAGGCCAACTGAATTTGTCTCATCTCTCTTCTCTCTCCCCTCTTTTTCTTGTGATTTATTCAAAAGGCAAACAAAAATCTTTCATTATCTTTTAATATTATATGAAAATATTGTTAAAAAGAGAAAGACAAATTTCACCTTTGCATTAACTCAATTCCTAATAAAACTTTGTAAACAAATATATCCAATCTTAATCAGTATCCAATCCAATCAATATGGCAATATTTCCATAAATCTTTTATAATACTTTACAATTTTCTGTTAAAGAGCAGATTAATGCTCTAAGAAAACCCTGTTACTGAGACCCATGAGCTCAGATTCTGGTCCTGCATCAGTGTGCTTTTATTTTGATGTTCAATTTATGGAAAAACTAAATAATATCTTTTTAATTTTATCCAACTTGTTCCACATAGAATTTTTTTAAACAACATTACTCTTTCCCAAGCCTTTTACAACTTGCTTAAACCTTCAGTTTTATCCTATATTTTTTAAATATTTGAAACAATCCTTAATTTCTCTAAATGAGACAAAATTATTTTTAAAAACAACATGTTCCTATACCTTTTTATTAATAACACATAACTCTTATTTTAAATGTAAGCAGTTTTAATTGTGTATCATGTGTGAAGCCTATGACACAGGACAGAACTGCAGATAGTGTCAGACTCTTTCCATCACTGGTAGGGAGCATGGCTACTCCACTGTCCCCAGGCATTACCTAGAATCTAATGGCTCCAAAGCAGCCAAGTTGAACAATTATTAAAAGTCATAGAGCAGTGTTCTAACCTTAGAGCATCTAGCAAAAAAATTATACCTGACCTGCCTCATTCAGACAAAAATGTGTAAATTTTGGAGACATTTTAGTTTTACCAAAAATCTTTAAAACTGTCTTTATTTTTCAAAGATTATTAGAGTGACATGAACAAAAAGGCATTTAGGTTTTTATTTTCCTGACAAAATATTTTATTTAAGCCCTTATTATTTTTAAGCCAATTAATTAGAGCTTTTTCATATATTTTGATAGTGAAACATCACACACATGACACATTCAAGTACACAAACCGATGCAGATTTGGTAGAGTGATAAGATTTGTTATTTGACTGTTTTTAAGTTTCTCTTTCTTATGTTAGACCATCAGTCTCTTGATTACCTGTTCCAGGCCCTAACAATTGTCAGGCATGCAGTTCCAAATTTGCGTCTTTAAAAGGATAATTCTGAAGTGAAGCAAAATAGAAAATTCATATTTTATTTACACCAAGGAAAAATGGTATGGGTAAAATTTCAGTCAAGATGGCCAGGAAAACCAGACAGTCTTACACATGGAGATTTCCTTAAAGATGTAAGTTTCTTGACTAGGTTATTGGCTTTAGGATGGAGTCTTTTCGGGAAAAGGGTCAGGAAAGCCCACAGTTTCTACGGCCTAATTATCAGGTATAGCTGGAAGGCAAAACAGATCTGCAAGATAAACATCTAATTTTTACAGCAAACCCTGGGGCCCCCCAAAAGGGAAATGCTATGGAAGAAGATAGTGCAATGCTTTCACAGTGTATCTTATTGAAAGGACATTTCCTCTAGGCTGCTGGGCAACCCAACAGCAATCAGGCCACTCTTTAATTAGCTCATACTCTATTCTTTTTTTTTGTTTTTTGTTTTGTTTTTTGTTTTTTTTTTGTTTGTTTGTTTTCCAAGTTCCTTTTTATTTAAATGAATCAGAACTGCAATCTGCACATGAAAAGACCTGGGGGGAATGCCTACATCTGGAATTTCATTACGTCAATGTTAAATTTTGTCCGACCAGTTCTTCATTGCTGATCACTTTTGATAATGACAGATCCAACATGAAACTCCTGAAGCAAATGAATATTTACCTTGTGCTTTCATGCAAATTTAGGGACCAAACTCAAAGGTTTCATCCATGCTGGACACCAGATCTAAGCTCATACTCTATTCTATACTTTCTCAGTATCCAAGAGCATGCTTTTCTTATTTAAACACTCAAAGAAAGGAATGTCATCCTGGAGTAATAAATAGCCACTGTAAGCAACTACCATCAGCCATTTTTAAAAGTATATTTCTTATCTAACTATTATACATCAAGGTTGATTTTTCTCATGATGCGAAGTAATTTCTTGTTCCCCTGTCTACAAAAGTCAAAAAGATTGGATACAAGAGCAAGGAAGAACATACAGGAGTAAATGGGAAACAGAATTCAGTTGTCTGAGAAGTTTTTACAAAAGAAAAGCAGGGGATTTAAAACAATATCTGTACACATATATCCCAAATATAAACATTAATTCAGTTAATTTTTAACTACTGAACTCTCAGAAGAAAATATTCTATTAGCAGACGTTAGCCAGGACAAACAGCTGGTATTTCTGGCTTTTGAATTTTTGACCACAAGTAACCTCCCACGTGAAACCAGTAAGCTCTAGCTAAGGTTATGACTTAACCATGGATGCATGAGGTGTCTTTAAAGAGATGGCAAGCAGTTTTTACAAGATCTAGAGTTGCCCCAGAGGTAGCTCAGAGAAAATAAAATTGAAGACAAGAAATCAGAAGCTATCTATGACAGGAAAAATAATCAATGGCAAAAGTCCTGCAAGTATTAAACCAGAAAGGATTCATTCCCTCAGCTAGGAATTGAACGCTTGTCACCATAGTGAAAGGACAAAGCCTTAGCTAGTGAGCCACAGCATGGGGCGGTCACCATTGCTATTCCCAGAAGGAATCTAAGGCAGTCGTTTTTGAGCTTGCAAAGGATTTTCACTGCTTAAGAGAATTCTTAAAGCTAGCCATGATATGAACTTGAAACTTCCCAACCTCCAGATAGTAGAGACCAAGAGCGTGTACTTCCATATGGTCAAGTTTTCAAAGACATAAAACAAGATGAGAGGTCACTTTGTTAAATTTTTCTTTTTCAGGGACCTACAGCAAAGTTTGTGTCTCACCAGTCTGTAAGCCAGCATGAACAGTAGGCTTATAGGGGTTCACAGAATGTGTTGTATCCTGTGGTACCCCTCTCTATAACAGAATAACAGAGACAAATTTATAGCACAAAATATACCGGATTTTCTACAGCCTAAGACTAGTCTCACAAATCATTTTCCTTATTAATTAAAACATTGCAGAGGAGACAAATGGTTAATTTTACCATTCATTCAAGCAGTTTGCATACAGAGAGGCCAGAAGCCCTGGCTGGTAAGAAATTCTTACCCCTTTTCTGGCTTGACAAGTTTCTGGGTTTGCTTTCTCTGTAGCTTCCGAAATAGCAGAGCAGCTTTTGATGCCCCTGCTTGCAGCACCATAGATGTGAGGGACAAGCCACATTACAAAAGAAATCTTATTTTCCCATTTTATGGAACCATCAGCAAAAACCTCTCAATTTTGCAAGATCCCACCCAAACAGCTGCATAGGGGAGCTAAACTAACATTTCTCATTCCAGCTGGAATAAAATGTACATGACAACACAGATACCAGTCATCCTGCTCAGCAACCAAGTATCAACCTGACAAGGCTCAAACTTTCCTTTGGCAGCCCCCTCACCTTTGATCCACTCAGAGTGGGGTGGGATGACCTCTGACCAGGCATTTCAATGGGTGGTCTTTGGACAAGATAGAAGAGTGAACTGTCACCCTGAGTTAGGCATGTCGTGCTTCCTTCAGGGCTCACAGAATGTGACCGACTAGACAAACTAGGAGAGCCTGCTAGACTTACAATAGCAGTTCCTTCAGGGAATCCTCTCTGTAAATAAAAGCACACACACAAAAGGTAAAGATGAACAAAAGGTCTTTTAAACCAAGATTCCAGACCAGATTCCAAACCAGAAAAGAGTATTTCTCCAAAAAGTCCCTTATTTTTGAGGCCGCAGAGACAGACAGTTCCTATGACAGGGCTACCTACAGTACCTCTAGAGAGGCCAACAGATAAAGAGAAGGAAGCAGGTGTTGGCAGCACCTGGAATACTCATCCAACCAGGTTAAAAGACATCTTCCAGGAACTGTTTCTCCATTGCAATTAGATCCATGCAGTATGGCTCAACAGTGCCCTACCAGTAGAGGCAGTACATAGTCCAAGAGAACTACGCAGCTGCTTGGGCTTGGCCTTTTTTTCCCCAAAGGTAACCATAGTTCAGTAGCCCCTCACTGGCAACAAGGGACTACTGAGCCATGGGCAGTAACCTGCAAGGTCTATCCTAAATAAGTCCCCAAATTTGAACCACCCAACAGATTCTTCTTGCTCGCTGCCCAGATGAAGCCGATTTATCAAGACAGGGGAATTGAAATAGAGAAAGGGTGTTTAGCAGCTCTACAATACATATAATACATGTATTAAGATGTATGACAACAACAAACCAAGTGGAGATGTAGTTTTATAAATTATTTCACCTTGCATTGCTTTTAGACATGAACATTTTCAGGTGTCACTTGGAGTATTATTGGAGAAAATCATATTTACAGTGTTTGTTTGAAAGGTATATTTGAAGAAAACTTTTGAAAGACTCAGAAAACTATTTTACTTTATGGCTCAGCAGGTGCTTCTAACCATATTTATGCTTAAGATTGCTAAATGAAAGAGGGAGCTACCTAGTCAGAGAAGTTAAATTATTAGATGTTATCTTTTTTATAGTAATATTTTTAATTGAGGTAAAAATAGCAATGCAAAGTGTACAAATTGTAAGAGTACAAAACAACGAGTTTTGGCAAATGCATAGATCTGTGTGACCGGAATTCATCAGCCCAGGTTTCAGCATGCCTCTTTCCAGTTAATCTCCACTGCCACTCACTGACCCAGAGGAAGACACTTCTCTGTTTTGTGTTTTTTTTAAATCACTACTGAGCAAAAAGTACCCTTTTTACTTTTTTGTCACCAAAGATTAGTTTTACCTGTTTAAAGATTTATTTAAACGGTATCAGCTTTCATTTTTTTATTATTATTATACCTTAAGTTCTGGAATACATGTGCAGAATGTGCAGGTTTGTTACATAGATATACATGTGCCATGGTGGTTTGCTGCACCCATCAACCCATCATATAGGTTTTAAGCCCCGCATGCTTTAGGTATTTGTCCTAATGCTCTCCCTCCCCTTGCCCCCAACCCCCTGACAGGCCACGGAGTGTAATGTTCCCTTCCCAGTGTCCGTGTATTCTCGTTGTTCAACTCCCACTCACGAGTGAAAACATATGGTGTTTGGTTTTCTGTTCCTATGTTAGTTTGCTGACAATGATGGTTTCCAGCTTCATCCATGTCCATGCAAAGGATATGAACTCGTTCTTTTTTTATCACTGCATAGTATTCCATGGTGTGTATGTGCCACATTTTTTTTAAATCCAGTCTATCATTGATGGGCATTTGGGTTGGTTCCAAGTCTTTGCTATTGTAAATAGTGCTGCAATAAACATATGTGTGCATGTGTCTTTATGGTAGAATGATTTGTATTCCTTTGGGTATATACCCAGTAATGGGATTGCTGGGTCAAATGGTATTTCTGAGATGGTATCTCATTGTGGTTTTGATTTGCATTTCTCTAATGACCAGTGATGATGAGCTTTTTTTCATATGTTTGTTGGTGACATAAATGTCTTCTTTTGAGAAGTGTCTGTTCATATCCTTCACCCAGTTTTTGATGGGGTTGTTTTTTAATTGTAAATTTGTTTAAGTTCCTCATAGATTCTGGATTATTAGCCCTTTGTCGGATGAATAGTTTGCAAAAATTTTCTCCCATTCTGTAGGTTGCCTGTTCACTCAGATGATAGTTTCTTTTGCTGTGCAGAAGCTCTTTAGTTTAATTAGGTGCCATTTGTCAATTCTGGCTTTTGTTGCCATTGCTTTTGGTGTTTTAGACATGAAGTCTTTGCCCATGCCTATGTCCTGAATGGTATTGCCTAAGTTTACTTCTAGGGTTTTTATTGTTTTAGGTTTTACATTTAAGTCTTTAATCTATCTTGAGTTAATTTTTGTATAAGGTATAAGGAAGGGGTCCAGTTTCAGTTTTCTGTATATGGCTAGCCAGTTTTCCTAGCACCATTTACTGAATAGGAGATTCTTTCCCCATTGCTTGTTTTTGTCAGGTTTCTCAAAGATCAGATAGTTGTAGATGTGTGGCATTATTTCTGAGGCCTCCATTCTGTTCCATTGGTCTATATATCTGTTTTAGTATCAGTACCATGCTGTTTTGGTTACTGTAGCCTTGTAGTATAGTTTGAAGGCAGGTAGCATGATGCCTCCAGCTTTGTTCTTTTTGCTTAGGATTGCCTTGGCTATATGGGCTCTTTTTTGGTTTCATATCACATTTAAGGTAGTTTTTCTAGTTCTGTGAAGAATGTCAGTGGTAGCATGATGGGAATAGCATTTAATCTATAAATTACTTTGGGGAGTATGGCCATTTTCATGATATTGATTCTTCCTATCCATAAGCATGGAATGTTTTTCCATTTGGTTTTGTCCTCTCTCATTTTCTTGAGAAGTCGTTTGTAGTTTGCCTTGAAGAGGTCCTTCACGTTCCTTGTAAGTTGTATTCCTAGGTATTTTACTTTCTTTGTAGCCATTGTGAATGGGAATTCACTCATGATTTGGCTCTATGTTTGTCTATTATTGTTGTATAAGAATGCTTGTGATTTTTGCACATTGATTTTTTATCCTGAGACTTTGCTGAAGTTGCTCATCAGCTTAAAGAGTTTTTGGGCTGAGACAATGGGGTATTCTAAATATACAATCATGTCATCTGCAAACAGAGACAATTTGACTTCCTCTCTTCCTATTTGAATAACCTTTATTTCTTTCTCTTGCCTGATTGCCCTGGCCAGAACTTCCAATATTATGTTGAATAGGAGTGGTGAGACAGGGCATCCTTGTCTTGTGCCAGTTTTCAAAGGGAATGCTTCCAGCTTTTGCCCATTTTGTATGATATTGGCTGTGGGTTTGTCATAAATAACTCTAGTTATTTTGAGATACGTTCCATCAATACCTAGCTTATTGAGAGTCTTTAACATGAAGAGATGTTGAATTTTATCAAAGGCCTTTTCTACATCTATTGAGATAATCATGTGGTTTTTGTCATTGGTTCTGTTTATGTGATTGATTATGTTTATTGATTTGCCTATGTTGAACCAGCCTTGCATCCCAGGGATGAAGGTGACTTCATCCTGGTGGGTAAGCTTTTTGATACGCTGCTGGGTTTGGTTTGCCAGTATTTTATTGAGGATTTTCACATCAATATTCATCGGGGATATTGGCCTGAAATTTTCTTTTTTTGTTGTGTCTCTGCCAGGTGTTTGTATTAGGGTGATGCTGGCCTCATAAAATGAGTTAGGAAGGAATCCCTCTTTATTTGTTGTTTGGAATAGTTTCAGAAGAAATGGAACCAGCTCCTCTTTGTACCTCTCATAGAATTCGGCTGTGAATCTGTCTGGTCCTGGGCTTTTTTTGGCCAGTAGGCTATTAATTACTGCCTCAATTTCAGAACTTGTTATTGGTCTATTCAGGGATCCAACTTCTTTCTGGTTTAGTCTTGAGGGGGGATGTATGCATCCAGGAATTCATCCATTTCTTCTAGATTTTCTAGTTTATTTGCATAGAGGTGTTTATAATATTCTTGGATGGTAGTTTGTATTTCTGTGGGATCAGTGGTGATATCTCCTTTATCCTTTTTTATTGTGTCTATTTGATTCTTCCCTCTTTTCTTCTTTATTAATCTGGCATCTGGCTAGTCATCTATCTATTTTGTTAATGCTTTAAAAAAAACAACTCTGGATTCATTGATTTTCTGAAGGATTTTTCATGTCTCTATCTCCTTCAGTTCTGCTCTGATACTAGTTATTTCTTGTCTTCTGCTAGCTTCTTGTTTCTCTAGTTCTTTTAACTGTGATGTTCAGGTGTTGATTTTAGGTCTTTCCAGCTTTCTGATATGGGCAGTTAGTGCTATAAATTTCCCTCTTAACACTGCTTTAGCTGTGTCCCACAGATTCTGGTACATAGTGTCTTTGTTCTCATTGGTTTCAAAGAATTTATTTATTTCTGCTTTAATTTTGTTATTTACCCAGTAGTCATTCAGGATCAGGTTGTTCAGTTTCCACATAGCTGTGCGGTTTGAGTGAATTACTTAATCCTGAGTTCTAATTTGATTACACTGTGGGCTGAGAATGTTTGTTATAATTTCTGTTATTTTGCATTTGCTGAGGAGTGTTTTACTTCCAATTTTGCGGTTGATTTTAGAATAAGTGCTATGTGGTACTAAGAAGAATGTATATTCTGTTGATTTTAGGTGGAGAGTTTTGTAGATATCTATTAGGTCTGCTTGGTCCAGAGCTGAGTTCAAGTCCTGAATATCCTTGTTAATTTTCTGTCTTGTTGATCTGTCTAATATTGACAGTGGGGTGTTAAAGTCTCCCACTA
Source organism: Homo sapiens (assembly GCF_000001405.40). Taxonomy (NCBI): domain Eukaryota; kingdom Metazoa; phylum Chordata; class Mammalia; order Primates; family Hominidae; genus Homo; species Homo sapiens. Next base: position 106,536,598 of record NC_000003.12, on the reverse strand, counting down.
TTATTGTGTGGGAGTCTAAGTCTTTTTGTCATTCTCTAAGAACTTGCTTTATGAATCTGGTTGCTATTGTATTGTGGGTATATATATTAAGGATAGTTAGCTTTTCTTGTTGCATTGATTCCTTTACCTTTATGAAATGCCCTTTCTTGTCTTTTTGATCTTTGTTGGTTTAAAGTCCGTTTTATCAGGAACTAGGATTGCAATCCCTGCTTTTTTTTTTTTTTTTTTTTTTTTTTTGCTTTCCATTTGCTTGGTAAATACTCCTCCATCCCTTTATTTTGAGCCTATCTGTGTCTTCGCACGTGAAATGGTTCTCCTGAATACAGGACATGGATGGGTCTTGATTCTTTATTCAGTTTGCCAGTCTGTGTCTTTTAATTGGGGCCCATTTATATTTAAGATTAATATTGTTATGTGTGAAGGTGATCCTGTCATCATGATGCTTGCTGGTTATTTTGCACATTAGTTGATGCAGTTTCTTCATAGTGTCATTGGTCTGTATATTTTGGTATGTTTTTGCAGTGGCTGATACTGGTTTTTCTTTTCCATATTTAGTGCTTCCTTCAGGAGCTTTGTAAGGCAGTCCTGGTGGTGACAAAATCCCTCAGCACTTGCTTGTCTGTAAAGAATTTTATTTCTCCTTTGCTTATGAAGCTTAGGGTGGCCTGATATGAAATTCTGCCTTGAAAAATTTTTCTTTAAGAATGTTGAATATTGGCCCCTACTCTCTTCTGGCTTGTAGGGTTTCTACAGAGAGATCCACTGTAAGTCTGATGGGCTTACCTTTATAGGTAACCTGGCCTTTCTCTCTGACTGCCCTTAACATTCTTTCCTTCATTTCAGCTTTGTTGGAGAATCTGATGATTATGTTTCTTGGGGTTGCTCTTCTCGAGGAGTATCTTAGTGGTGTTCTCTGTATTTCCTGAATTTGAATGTTGGCCTGCCTTGCTAGTTTGGGGATGTTCTCCTGAATAATATCCTGAAGTGTATTTTCCAACTTGGTTTTATTCTCCCCATCATTTTCAGGTACACCAATCAATCATAGGTTTGGTGTCCCATATTTCTTGGAGGCTTTGTTCATTCCTTTTCATTCTTTTTTCTTTAATCTTGCTTCATGCTTTATTTCATTAACTTGATTTTCAACCTCTGATATCCTTTCTTTCATTTGATTGATTTGGCTATTGACACTTGTGTATGCTTCATGAAGTTCTCGTGCTGTGTTTTTCAGCTCCATCAGTTCATTCATGTTCTTCTCTAAACTGGTTATTCTAGTTAGCAGTTCCTGTAACCTTTTATCAAGGTGCTTAGCTTCCTTGCATTGGGTTAGAACATGCTCCCCTAGCTCAGAGGAGTTTGTTATTACTTACCTCCTGAAGCCTACTTCTGTCAATCTGTCAAACTCATTCTCAGTCCAGTTTTGTGCCCTTGCTGGAGAGGAGTTACACTCATTTGGAGGAAAAGAGGCATTCTGGTTTTGGGAATTTTCAGCATTTTTGCACTTGTTTTTCCTCATCTTCGTGGATTTATCTACCTTTAGTCTTTGATGTTGGTGACCTTTGGTTGGGGTTTTTGTGTGGACTTTTTTTGGTTGATGTTGATGCTATTTCTTTCTGTTTGTTAGTTTTCCTTCTATCAGTCATGCCCCTTCTTCTGCACATCTGCTGGAGTTTGCTGGAGTTCCACTCCAGACCCTATTTGCCTGGGCATCACCAGTGGAGGCCGTAGAACAGCAATGATTGCTGCCTGCTCCTTCCTCTGGAAGCTTCATCCCAGATGGACACCCACCTGATGCCAGCTGGAGCTCTCCTGTATGAGGTGTCTGTCAACTCCTGCTGGGAGGTGTCTCCCAGTCAGGAGGCATAGGGGTCAGGGACCCACTTGAGGAGGCACTCTGTCCCTTAGCAGAGCTTGAGTGCTGTGCTGGGAGATCCGCTCCTCTCTTCAGAGCTGGCAGGCATAAATGTTTAAGTCTGCTGAAACTGTGCCCACAGCCACGCCTTCCCCAGGTGCTCTGTCCCAGGGAGATGGGAGTTTTATCTATAAGTCCCTGACTGGGGCTGCTTCCTTTCTTTTAGAGATGCCCTGCCCAGTGAGGAGGAATATAGAGGCAGTCTGGCCACAACCGCTTTGCTGCGGTGCAGTGAGTCACCAAGTCTGAACTTCCTGGCTTCCTCAACACTGTGAGGGGAAAACCACCTACTCAAGCTTCATTAATGGCAGACGCCCCTCCCCTCACCAAGCCCAAAAGTTCCGTGTTGACTTTAGACTGCTGTGCTGGCAGCAAGAATTTCAAGCCAGTGGTTCTTAGTTTGCTGGGCTCCATGCTTCGGAGTGGGACTCGCTGAGAGAGACCGCTTGGCTTCCTGGCTTCCGCCCCCTTTCCAAGGGAGTGATCAGTTCTGTCTTGTGGGGTTCCAGCACCACTGGGGTATGAAAAAAACTCCTGCATCTAACTCAGTGTCTGCCCAAACTGCTGCCAAGTTTTGTGCTTGAAACTCAGGGCCCTGGTGGTTTGTTTAGGTACATGAGGGAATCTCCTGGTCTGCAGGTTGTGAAAACAATGGGAAAAGCATAGCATCTGGGTCAGAAAGCACAGTCCCTCACAACTTCCCTTGGCTAGGGGAGGGAGGTCCCTGGCCCCTTGCACTTCCTGGGTGAGGCAATGCCCCACCCTGCTTCTGCTCACCCTCTGTGGGCTGCACCCACTGCCTAACCAGTCCCAATGAGATGAGAGCTGTTCCTATTTGGCCATCTTGCTTAACTCCCTAGAAGTTATCTTGATACATGTATCAAGATGTGGTACTCACTAAACAGGAGACCAGAGTTCAATTATTACTCAAATCAACCTCCCCTAAAATTCGGAAGCCAGGGTTCTTCAAGGATAGTTTGGCTGGCAGTGGGCTAGGGAATGAGTTGGTTGGGGATGCAATAATAGGGGTGTGTGAAACAGCCCTCTTGAGCTGAGTCTGAATCTGGGTGGGGACCACAAGAGTCACTAATCTGAGTGGGGCTATCTGGTCATCAGAAATGCAAAAGTCTGAAAAGACATCTCAAAAGGCCAAAAATAGGTTCTACAACAGCAATGTTGTTTGGAGGAGTATTTGGGGAAGTGGCAAATCTCGTGATCTCTGGAATAATAGTTGGTAATTGTTTATGAATTCAGATGCCTCTGAAACTCCTACTATGGTGGGCTTTCATTAATTTTACAGAGGCAATTTAGCTTTTTGAGAAGGGATATTATCATTTAAACAATAAACTAAACTTCTCCCAAAGCTAGTTTGGACCACGCCCAGGAATGACCAAGGGCTGTCTGGCAGTTAAAGGCAAGATGAAGTTGGTTACGTCAGATCTCTTTCACTGCCATAATTTTCTCACTGTCATAATTTTTGCAAAGGTGGTTTTAATCACAAACATCTGTTTTTCTCGACATAATTTAAAGGTTTTATTTTCTTTATTTTTCTTTAAAAGTGGAAAGAAGAATGAAATTGATTACTCAGATTTTCTCACTTATTATTGTTCTTTAGAACATTTACATAGTACATTAAAAACACCAATTCCCTTTAGTGCTTGTGCTATGGTGGATAAATACAAAGTGAAACAAATTCAGCAGATCTGTGCTCCAAGTGCTTCCTCTGTCATGCATATGAATTTGCCACTATGCCAAAGTGTTTCCAAGAGTTTTACTTCATATTGGAACTGGATTTTCTGCTGGGTAGCATGAAAATGTTTCCCAAACAGCCATTACAATTTAGATGACTGACCTGAATGCCTACTCTTTTCCCTCAATTCTGGCGACTTTTTATCTCAGTGCTTCATAGCATGAATTCTATGCAACATTTCCTGTGCAATCAACAACAACAACAAACCAAGAGGTGATTTAGTTTTATAAACTATTTCACCTTGCATTGCTTCTAGATTTGAACATTTTCAGGTGTCATTGGGAATATTATTGGAGGCAATCATATTTAAAAGTGTTTGAAGGTATATTCGGATGTATATTTTGAAAGACTCAGGCATCTATTTTACTTTATGGCTCTGCAGCTGTTTCTAACCATATCATGCTTAAGATTGTTAAACGTAAGAATGAGCTACCTAGTTAGAGAAGTTAAATCATTAGTTCCATCAGATTTACATAGTCCATAAACTTTGAAAAATGCAAATATTCAATATACAGTGTAACACTGTGAATTATCCCATCACCACTCAATAGATCATGCAATCTGAAGCAAAATTAAATATTTATTATAAAAAAATTGTTGTTAGTAAATTACACTAGCTAGGGAGTAATACATGTACCTGGTTATCATTCACAATTGTACTAGAGTACCATATAAGTAATAGACATCTCTTCTACACTCCCTTGACACTTTTCCCCATGGCTAGAGCGGCTGAGATGTAAGACACGAAGTCCCTAGGCTGCATCCAGCAGGGAGGCCCTCGGCTTAGTCCTTGAAACCATTTTTCCTTCCCAGGCCTCAGGGCCTGTGATGGGAGGGGCTGCTGCAAAGGTCTCTGACATGCCCTGGAGACATTTTCCCTATTGTCTTGGTGATTAACAGTTGGCTCCTAGTTACTTATGCGAATTTCTGCAGCTGTCTTGAATTTCTCCTCAGAAAATGGGATTTTCTTTTCTATTGCATCATCAGGCTGCAAATTTTCCAAACTTTTAAGCTCCGTTTTCCTTTTAAAACTGAATGCTTTTAACAACATCTTTGTCACCTCTTGAATGCTTTGCAACTTAGAAATTTCTTCCACCAGATATCCTAAGTCATCTCCCTCAAGTTCAAAGTTCCACAAATCTCTAGGGCAGAGACAAAATGCCACCAGTCTCTTTGCTAAAGTATGGCAAGGGTCACCTTTACTCCAGTTTCCAACAAGTTCCTTATCTCTATCTGAGACCATCTCAGCCTGGATTTCATTGTCCATATCATTATCAGCATTTTGGTCAAACCCATTCAACAAGTCTCTAGAAAGCTCCAAACTTTCCCACATTTTCCTATCTTCTTCTGAGCCCCCCAAAGTTTTCCAACCTTTGCCAGTTCCAAAGTTGCTTCCACAATTTCAGGTATCTTTACAGCAGCACCCCACTCTCAGTACCAATTTACTCTATTAGTCTGTCCTCATGCTGCTAATAAAGGCATACCCGAGACTGGGTAATTTGTAAAGAAAATAAGGTTTAATGGACTCTCAGTTCCACATGACTGGGGAGGCCTCACAATCATGGTGGAAGGTGAAAAGCACATCTTACATGGCAGCAACCAAGAGAGAATCACAACCAAGTGAAAGTGGAAACCCCTTATAAAAACATCAGATCACATGAGACTTATTCACTATGGCGAGAACAGTATGGGGGAAACTGCCCCTATGATTCAATTATCTCCCACTGGTTTCCTTCCACAACATGTAGGAATTATGGGATGAGATTTGGGTGGGGACACAGCCAAACCATATCAGGCTCTTTTTTGGTTCCACATGAATTTTTGGATTGATTTTTCTAATTCTGTAAAAAATTATGCTTATACCTTAATAGAGATTGCATTGACTCTGTATATTGCTTTGGGTAGTATTTAATGATATTAATTCTTCCAATTCATGAGCATGTGATGTTTTTCTATTTGTTTGTGTCATCTGCAAGGTCTTTCATCAGTGTTTTGTAGCTTTTCTTGTAGAGATTTTTACCTCCTTCCTTAAATTAATTCCTGACATTTTATTTTTTGTAGTTATTGTAAATGGGATTGCCTTATCACTCTCTTTCTCAGCTAGACCATTATCAGTTTATAACAATGCTACTGATTTTTGTACATTGATTTCATATCTTGCAACTTTACTGAATTTATCAAACAGTGCACCAGCATGGCACATGTATACATATGTAACTAACCTGCACAATGTGCACATGTACCCTAAAACTTAAAGTATAATAATAAAAGAAAAAAAAAGAATTTTTTGATGGAGTCTTTAGGTTTTTCTAAATATAAAATTACATAATCAGCAAAGAGGGAAATTCTGACTTCCTCTTTTTCAGTTTGGATGCTTTTTATTCCTTTCTCTTGCCTGATTGCTCTGGCTAGAGCTTTAGTACTATGTTGGATAGGGATGGTGAAAGTGGACACTCTTGTTCCAGTTCTTAGAGGAAAGGCTTTCAACTTTTCCCCGTTCAGTATGATGTTAACTGTAGATTTGTTTTACATGGCTTTTATTATTATTTTGGGGCATGTTCTTTCTATGCCTAATTTCTTGAGTGTTCTTATTATAAAGTCATGCTGAATTTTATTTAAAAGCATTTTCTGCATCTATTGAGATGATCATATGATTTTTATTCATTTTGTTTTTGTGATGTCTCATGTTTATTTATTTGCATATGTTGAATGATCTTTGCATTCCTGGTGTAAATCCCAATATGCTGGTTGATTCATTTTGCTAGCATCTTATTGTTTGAATTTACATTAGGATGACCAAAATAGTAGGTAAAAACTTCCCAATTCTAGCAAGAGATATAGACATCCAGACACAGGAGGCCTGGCAATCCTCAAATACAATGCAAAAAGGTCTTTGCCATGGCACATTATAATCAGACTGTCTAAAGTCAAAGTGAAAGAGCAAATTCAACAGAGCAAGAGGAAAATGTCTAGTCACTTATAAAAGAAACACCATTTGACTAAGATGGACATCTCAGCAGAAACCTTACAGACCCAAAGAGAAAGAGATGACATATTCTGACACAATCTGATCAAGCTGGTTAGGGGCATCAGTGTTCATTCATGATTCTGTATCCAGAACTTACTTGACAGAATGGGCTTGTTGGAACACTGAAAGTTGACAGCCCCTGCAGCCTAGAATGATAAAATCCACATACAAAGGAATTGATCATTCATTTTACAGAATGGTCTCTTTCTCTTCAGGATTGACTTTTTAAAAATAGTTATTTCTAGTCATGGGGAAAAGTAAAAGTTTCTCTAGACACATAATTCAATTTATCTATACCCAATCAAACTTGCCTTTCTTAATCTGACACTTAGTGACTTTTAATCTATTATAACTTGTACTTCTCGTTTCTTGCTCTTGTCTTTAATATATTAAGTCAAATAACAAAGGTTGAAAGTATTTTTATTGGTTTGGGTTTTCAGAATATTATATTTACTATTACTAAATGGTTTTTCCATTTTCGATTATTACTCAGAAACTCTGTTGGCTAGGTTTGTATTGAATGTAGTTACCAAAGGACCACTTAATACTGATGCATTTACCCTCAGATAATAAAGGTAGCCTCAAACCTGCAATCACTTTAGGTTCCCCTGAAGCTGGTTAATTGAACTGCTGTGTACTGTTTTGTCAAGATTTATCGCCTTGTATAAATCTACGTGTATTAGATCTGTAGCACATTGTTCTGAAAGAAAACTACCTGACTCTAGAAAAACCTGAAACAAGGCTCAGTTACTAAATAGAATGGAGAGACAGATTCATCTCAGTACTGGTTTCAGGGGAAAAGTATCATCCTGTGATTAGAAGGCTTCCAAGTTTCATTTCTGAATGGTGATTTTTGCTTGGGAGATCCATGGTTTGTTGAGACGTAGAGTCCCTAAGAAATATTTCTTTTCTTCATCTCATGGAGGATGATTATTTTAAGGAGAGTGAACATTACAATTGTAATACAAGGTTCGAATTTGAATTCTCAAAATTTAGGATGATCTTTTTTAAGGGTGATAGGTATTTTTTGTTTTTTATTTCTTAAAAAAAAAACAAACAAACGGGATACATGTGCAGAATGTGCATGTTTGTTACATAGGTATACATGTGCCATGGTGGTTTGCTGCACCTATTGACCCATCCTCTAAGTTCCCTCCCCTCACCCCCCAACCCCCAAAGGCCCTGGTGTGTGTTGTTCCCCTCTCTGTGTCCATGTGTCCTCGTGGTTGAACTCCCACTTATGAGTAAGAATGTGCAGTGTTTGGTTTTCTGTTCCTGTGTTAGTTTGCTGAGGATGATGGCTTCCAGCTTCATTCATGTCCCTGCAAAAGACATGATCTCATTCTGTTTTATGGCTTCCTAGTATTCCATCGTGTATATGTACCACATTCTCTTTATCCAGTCTATCATTGATGGGCATTTGGGTTGGTTCCGTGTCTTTGCTATTGTAAACAGTGCTGCAGTAAACATAGGTGTGCATGTGTCTTTATAGTAGAATGATTTATATTCCTTTGGGTATATACCCAGTAATAGGACTGCTGGGTCAAATGGTATTTCTGGTTCTAGATCCTTGAGGAATCACAATAATGTCTTCCACAGTGGTTGAACTACAGTCCCACTGACAGTGTAAAAGCATTCCTATTTCTCCACAACCTCACCAGCATCTATTTTTTCCTGACATTTTAATAATTGCTATTCTGACTGGCATGAGATGGTATCTCATTGTGGTTTCAATTTGCATTTCCCTGATGATCAGCCATGTTGAGCTTTTCTTCATATGTTTGTTGGCCACATAAATGTCTGCTTTTGGGAAGTGTTGGTTCATATCCTTTGCCCACTTTTTGATGGGGTTGTTTGGTTTTTCTTGTAAATATATTTCAGTTGCTTGTAAATTCTGGATATTGGACCTTTGTCAGATGGGTACATTCCAAATTTTTCCCCATTCTGTAGGTTGCCTGCTCACTCTGATGATAGTTTCTTTTGCTGTGAAGTTCTTTAGTTAAATTAGATCCCATTTGTTAATTTTGGTTTTTGTTTCAATTGCTTTTGGCATTTTTGTCATGAAGGCTTTGCCCATGCCTATGTCCTGAATGGTATTACCTAGGTTTTCTTCAAGGATTTTTATGGTTTTAGGTTTTACATTTAAGTCTTTAATCCATCTTGAGTTCATTTTTGTATAAGATGTAAAGAAGGAGTCAAGTTTCAGTTTTCTGCATATGGCTAGCAGTTTCCCTAGCACCGTTTACTGAATAGGAGATCCTTTCCCTATTGCTTGTTTTTGACATGTTTGTCAAAGACCAGATGGTTGTAGGTGTGTGGTATTATTTCTGACGTCTCTGTTCTGTTCCATTGATCTGTATGTCTGTTTTGGTACCAGTACCATGCTGTTTTGGTTACTGCAGCCTTGTAATATAGTTTGAAGTCAGGTAGCATGATGCCTCCAGCTTTGTTCTTTTTGCCTAGGATTGTCTTGGCTAAATGGGGTCTTCTTTGATTCCATATGAAATTTAAAGTAGTTTTTTCTAATTCTGTGATGAATGTCAATGGTAGTTTGATGAGAATAACATTGAATCTATAAATTACTTTGGGGAGTATGGCCATTTTCATGATATTGATTATTTCTGTCCATGAGGATCCTATGTTTTTCCATTTGCTTGTGTCCTCTCTTATTTCCTTGAGAAGTGGTTTGTAGTTCTCCTTGAAGAGGTCCTTCACATCCCTTGTTAGCTGAATTAGCTGAATTACTAGGTATTTTATTATCTTTGCAGTGATCATGAATGGTAGTTCATTCATGATGTGGCTCTTTGCTTGTCTATTGTTGGTGTAAAGGAATGCTTATAATTTTTGCACATTGTGTATTCTGAGACTTTGCTAAAGTTTCTTATCAGTTTCAGGAGCTATTGGGCTGAGATGATGGGGTTTTCCAAATATAAAAACATGTCATCTGCAAACAGAGACAGTGTGACTTCCTCTCTTCCTATTCGAATACCCTTTATTTCTTTCTCTTGCCTGATTGCCCTAGCCAGAACTTCCAATACTATGTTGAATAGGAGTGGTAAGAGAGGGCATCCTTGTCTTGTGCTGGTTTTCAAAGGGAATGCTTCCAGCTTTTGCCCATTCTATATGATATTGGCTGTGGGTTTGTCATAAATAGCTCTTATTATTTTGAGATATGTTCAATCAATACCTAGTTTATTGAGAGTTTTTTAACATGAAGGGATGTTGAATTTTATCAAAGGCCTTTTCTGCATCTATTGAGATAATCATGTGGTTTTTGTCATTGGTTCTGTTTATGTGATGGATTACGTTTTTTGATTTGCATATGTTGAACCAGCCCTGCATCCCAGGGATGAAGCTGACTTGATCGTGGTGGATAAGTTTTTTGATGTGGTGCTGGATTCCGTTTGCCAGTATTTTATTGCAGATTTTCACTTCAATGTTCATCAGGGATATTGGCCTGAATTTTTCTTTTCTTGTCATGTCTTTTTCCGGTTTTGGTATCAGGATGATGCTGGCTTCATAAAATGAGTTAAGGAGGAGTCCCTCCTTTTCAATTGTTTGGAATAGCTACAGAAGAAATGGTACCAGCTCCTCTTTGTATTTCTGGTAGAATTCAGCTGTGAATCCATCTGGTCCTGGGCTTTTTTTGGTTGGTAAGCTATTAATAACTGCCTTAATTTTAGAAATTGTTAATGTCTATTGAGGCATTCGACTTCTTCTTGGTTTAGTCTTGGGAGGGTGTATGTGTCCAGGAATTTATCCTTTTCTTCTAGGTTTTTAGTTTATTTGTATTAGAAGTGTTTATAGTATTCTCTGATGGTAGTTTGAATTTCTGTGGGATCATTGTTGACATCTCCTTTATCATTTTTTATTGTGTCTATTTGATTCTTTCCTCTTTTCTCCATTAGTCTAGCTAGTGGTCTATCTATTTTGTTAATTTTTTTCAAAAAACCTAGCTTCTGGATTGACTGATTATTTTGGGGGTTTTCATGTCTCTATTTCCTTCAATTATTTTCTCATTTATTTATTTCTTGTTTTCTGCTAGCTTTTGGGCTAGTTTGCTCTTGCGTCTCTATCTCTTTTAATTTTGATGTTAGTGTGTCTATTTGAGACCTTTCTACCTTCCTGATGTGGGCACTTAGTGCCATAAATTTCCCTCTTAGCACTCCTTTAGTTGTGTTCCAGAGATTCTGGTACATTGTCTGTTTGTTCTCATTGGTTTCAAGGAACCTCTTGATTTCTGCTTTAATTTCATTATTTACCTTGGAGTCATTCAGGAGCAGGTTGTTCAATTTCCATGTAATTTTGTGGTTCTAAGTGAGTTTCTTAATCTTGAGTTCTAATTTAATTGCACTGTGGTCTCAGAGACTGTTATGATTTCAGTTCTTTTGCATTTGCTGAGGAGTGTTTTACTTCCAATTATGTGGTAGATTTTAGAGTACGTGCCATGTGGCACTGAGAAGAATGTATATTCTTTTGATTTGAAGTAGAGAATTCTGTGAACATCTACTAGGTCTACTTGATCCAGAGCTGAGCTCAAGTCCTGAATATCCTTTTTAATGTTCTGTCTCATTGACCTGTCTAATACTGACAGTGGAGTGTTAAAGTCTCCCACTATTATTGTGTGGGAGTCTAAGTCCCTTTGTGGGTCTCTAAGAACTTTTTTTATGAGTCTGTGTGCTCCTTTATTGGGTGTATATATATTTAGAATAGTTAGCTTTTCTTGTTGAATTGTTCCCTTTACCATTATGTAATGCCTTCTTTGTCTTTTTTGATCTTTGTTGGTTTAAATTCTGTTTTGTTAGAGACTAGGATTGCAACCCCTGCTTTTTTTGCTTTCCATTTGCTTGGTAAATTTTCCTCTATCCCTTTATTTTGAGCCTATGTGTGTCTTTGCACGTGAGATGGATCTCCTGCATACAGCACACGGATGGGCCTTGACTGTTTATCCAATTTGCCAGGCTGTGTCTTTTAACTGGGGCATTTAACCCTTTTACATTTTGGCTGGTACCAGTTTTTCCTTTCCATATTTAGTGCTTCTTTCAGGAGCTCTTGCAGGGTAGGCCTGGTGGTAACAAAATTCCTCAGCATTTGTTTGTCTGGAAAGGATTTTATGTCTCCTTTGCTTCTGAGGCTTAGTTTGGCTGTATATGAAATTCTGGGTTGAAAATTCTTTTCTTTAAGAATGTTGAATATTGGCCCCCAATTTCTTCTGGCTTGTAGAGTTTCTGCTGAGAGGTCCACTGTCAGTCTGATGGGTTTCCCTTTATAGGTGAGCTGGCCTTTCTCTCTGGCTGCCCTTAACATTTTTTCCTTCATTTCGACCTTGGAGAATCAGATGATTATGTGTTTTGGTGTTGATCTTCTCATGGAATATCTTAGTGGTGTCCTCTGTATTTCCTGAATTTGCATGTTGTCCTGTCTTGCTAGGTTGGGGAAGTTCTCCTGGATAATATCCTGAAGTGTGATTTTCAGCTTATTTCCATTCTTCCCATATCCTTCTTGTACTCTGATCAATTGTACGTTAAGTCTTTTTATGAAGTTCCATATTTCTTGGAGGCTTTGTTTATTCCTTTTCATCCTTTTTTCTCTAGTCTTGTCTGCATGCTTTATTTCATCAAGGTAGTCTTCAAACTCTGATATCCTTTTTTCCACTTTGTCAATTTGGCTATTGATACTTGTGTATGCTTCATGAAGTTCTTGTGCTGTGTTTTTCAGCTCCATCAGGTTGTTTCTGTTCCTCTCTAAACTGGTTATTCTGGTTAGCAATTCCTCTAACATTTTATCAAGGTTCTTAGCTTCTTTGCATTGGGTTAAAACATGCTCTTTAGCTCAGTGTAGTTTTTTATTACCCATCATCTGAAGCCTACTTCTGTCAATTCATCCATCTGATCCTCTGTCCAGTTCTGTGCCATTGATAGAGAGACTTCCCAGTCATTTGGAGGAGAGGAGGCACTCTGGGTTTTCAGCATTTTTTCATTGATTCTTTCTCATCTCTGTGAGTTTGCCAAGTTTTAGTCTTTGATGTTGCTGACCCTTGGATAGGGTTTTTTTGGGGGCTTTTGTTGTTGTTGTTGTTAATGATGCTGTTGTTGTTGCTTTCTGCTTATTTGGGTTTTTTTTCAATGGCAGGTCCCTCTTCTGTAGGGCTGCTGCAGTTTTCTGGGGATTCACTTCAGGCCCTATTCATCTGATTTGCTCCTGTGCCTGGAGATGTCACTCAAGGAGGCTGCAGAATAGCAAAGATGGGTGCCTGCTCCTTCTCCTGGGACCTCTGACCTCGAGGGGCACCAACCTGATGCCAGTAGGATCGCTTCTGTATAAGATGTCTGACAACCCCTGTTGGAGGGTCTCACCCAATTGGATGGCATGGGAAATAGGACCCATTTAACAAAGCACTTTGTCCCTTGGTGGAGGGGATGTGCTTTGCTGGGGGGATCCCACTCATCTGGGCTACCCAGATTCCTCAGAACCACCAGGAGGAAAAGCTAAGTCTATTGATCTGCAGAGACTGTGGCCAATCCTTCTCCTAGGGGCTCAGGTCTAGGGAGATCTGGATTCTGTCCCTAAGCCTCTGGCTGGAGTTATTGGAGTTCCTGCAGGGAAGCCCCACCCAAGAAGGAAGGATGCGTCAGGGTCAGACCTGAAGAGGCACCCTGGCCACAGACTGCCACAGCCAGTGTATTGGGCTGTGGGAGACATGTCTTGGGACCAAACTATCCAGTCTCCCTGGCTCCAGCAGGGGAAAAGCGCAGCCTGAAGCTATAGAGATGTATGTCACCCTTCCTCAACCCAGAGAGCTTAGAGTGTTAGGCAGTTGTGAGCCCCAGTGCTGTTCCTACCCCTCCCCCAAGGATCTCAAATGGTGTAGACAGCAGGCAGCCACAGCTGTAGTGCTGGTCTACCCTCTCCACAGGTTCGGTAGGCTTAAGCAGATTTCAGCTGAGAGGCTGTCGAGAATCTGCACATTCTGGGGTTGGGATGCTAGGTCCCGTGGCATGGTTTCGTTAGTGGGATCTTCTGATCTGTGGGTTGCACAGTTCCGTGGAAAAAAGCATGGCATACCTGGCTGGGTAGCACGCTCACTCATTGCTTCCCTTGGCTGGTGGGAGGGGGCCCCCCTGCCCCATGTGGCTCTCAGGTAGGCTGCTGCACCACACTGTTCTTCATTTTCTTTGTGGGTTATGCCAGCCTCCTAATCCGTTCTGATGAGAGAACCTGGATACCTTGGTTTCTGGTGAAGTCTTCACACACCTATTGTGTTTTATTTGATAACAGCCTCTGAACGCTGCTGCTTCTAGTCAGCCATCTTGGCCCTGCCCCGGTATTTGCTTTTAGGTTATTATTTAACTAGTTCTAAGAAGTTAGTTCATATATTAGGTGTGTGTGCATGTGTGTATATAAACTTATTATATTACTTATTTATACAATTTATAAATAAATAAATCGTTATAAAATTATATGATGTATAATTTTACTAGTTATAACCAGATCTGAACTTAAATATTGGTTTAAAATAATACCTTAATAAATAATGTGAGATAAAAGAGAGTGTTTTTAGGCATGCTTTGTAGAAAACAAACTTTAAAAGAAAACCTGGCTTACAAATTGAATAGAATTTTTTTGGATAAGAAAAATAAAAAGGGGGGTAGAAGATGCTGAGCAGAAGAACAGGAGGCTACAGCCTAGGAAGGAAGGTAGAACATAAGAAATTCCCACTCAATGAAAGTTAGCCACTATTTTATGACTGCAAATGACTTCATGATTGGTTGTTATCAACACCACCAAATGGTGCATCTAATTGTGCTTTAGGAGTTCAGAGGAGAGAGATGCAATTTGAACATGAATAGACTGATAAGGTTTTATGAAGAAATTTCAGAGGCTCATATAGAGAAATTAGGTGGGAATTGACTAGGTGAAAAGGCAGGTGTAAATTAACCATGAAAGCAAGAAACAACAAAATGTGTGTAAAAGACACAGGACAGGAGCACTTGGTTGTGAAATTACAATGATAGCATAGAGTTTGTCTGTAAGGGTCTGACTTCCAGGTCAAGTAGTTTAGTGTTGATCCCACTGACTTTATAAGTCTTCAAAGACTTATTAGCAGGGGTCTAAAGTGAGTAAAGGGATGTTTTATAGTTATTTTATAGAATGAACAGGAATTAGTCATAGTTTTTTAATTTTATAGGATTGAGAGGAATTGTTCATAGTGTTTTCAAAAAGCTGGAAGCTCGTGCTTTCAAAAGAGTAGATATAATGTCACAGTAATATTCTAAGTACAGTATTTTGGGTGAGAGTTCATCTCTCCCTCTTTTAACTTCCTTAATTGTCCTAGGCTAAGCCAAGACCTGGGTATTTTAATGCTAGAGAAAAATATAAGAACGGTAAAGAATTTCCTAGGAATTTTATCCAAATTTCAGCATTCAAGGGGTTAGGGAGACGATATCTCTGTGTGTAGTTGCAGCACCATTAGGAATTTATGAGTTTTTGCAACTGCATCCAAAACTATCATAAAGAGAAAAGTACTTGAATTTTTATCTCTGCATGCAATTTTGTCAATTTCCAGTACAAACCCACTTTCCTGTTTTTAAATTAGTTCTTCTAGGACTGAATCACGAACTACATAAAGTCATTTCAGCAACTTATTGTCAGCTGTAGTCTGAGTTTTAGAGACTAGCTTTACCTGCCACATGAACTTTAGCTTTGCTGTTCACCATGTGTAGGGGATGGGGGTGGGGTGCACACACATTATTTTAAAGAGAAAGTGCGTAACCTTTGAGTGATTTTAGGTTGTGATAGATACAGAGAATTAGATGACTTATGTACTGAATCTTTGGTTTTGATGATGTCATAAAATAGTTGCCTTTGAGGACAAAGAGGGAAGTGGAGTTCTAAGGCAAGTTCGGGATGCTTGGAGGAAACTGTTTTCCTTGAAGAAGCCTCAATCTTTTAAAAGTTTGATCTGTTTTATTATGCTTCAAGTACCATTGACTTTTTTTTATCATTTTAATAAGGATCTTTTAGAATATTTTGTCGAGAAAGTTTTGACTTACCTTTCCAGACCAAAGTGTGATTTTTCTTTTGCTGGGAGCTCTCACATGTGTGATAATTGGTCATTATAACTGTCTCCACTACTACTCTGAAAGACCCTAGGGTAGGAGACAGAATTGTTTCCTACCAAACTGTTATAGCTCCAGCACCTCAAAGAGTAGGAGGCATACAGTAGGAACTTAATGACTATCAGTTGAATGGATGGATAAATCAATAAATCAGTGATGCTGTGTTGAGTACTTCTCATTTGCAAGTCATCATGTCAAATTGATGGGAAAACATGTAATTATTATTTTTGATACTTGCCTCTAAGGAATTTAATTTTAGTGTGAAAGCTAAAACTTCGACACAAAATGTAATTAAGCATATTTGATACTTTATGCTCTTTGCCCCCCTTTTCTCTTATTAGTTACCTAATTTTAATCTTTGCCTTCATTACTCTGCCTTTAAAGGACACAAATAACCACCTATTTGGCAAATGTATGGGTTTAAGTGTTCTTAATCTCCTTGACGTCTATGTAGCACTGAGCACTAGAGAATCCAGTCTTTCTTTTGAGCTTGTCTTTCCTTTTTGGTCCCAAAACACTACACTAGATTGGACCTCACCTTCCTCCCACTGCTGTGTACTCACACAGCCTTCACTATCTGCATTTGTCATTATTCCCACCCAACGCATTGTGTGCCCTCTCTTTTCTTCTTTTTCTATACTGTATATCTTTTGGAGTACTCTCCAGGCTAATATTTCCATTCATTATTTAACTTGTGTAGGTCAAAATACTTCTGTCACTAAGTACTCTGTACTTGAATACCATGGTTTTCTTTTCAAATTTGTTGTTTTTAAAACTAAATATCATGTTTCCCCTTATACCTTATTTTCCCTTTGAATTTTCCTTTTCTGTCATGGTACCAGCAGGTTCCTTGCCAACCAATCTTGAAACTTTGTACATCTCATTGTCTCCTCTTCCTCACAGTCTCTCTTTCACCTTTGCCACTTACAGTAGCGATATGTAGATTCCCTTATATTGATCCAGTAACTACCAAGGCAGTGGTTTCCCTGCATTCAGGTCTTCCTTCTTGAGTCTATGCTGGATTGAGCCTCATTAGCTGTGCATATTACTCTTTCTCAAAATCCTTTCAGGATAACTATTGCATGTAGTTCATCTTGCTTAGCTTGGAATTTGAGGCCTTGTACGATATGACTGGCAGAGCTCTTCAGTCATTTTACCACCAAGCAAACCCAACTAGTCAATATGCCTGATTTGGTACATTTGCTAGCACTATTCCCTTTTCTACATTACTGAATTAAAACTCAATAAATTTCTGAATTCTATTCCCATACAAAAGTCTAATTAAAGTGTTAGTGTTCCCCTAAAGCTTCCTGCATGGTAGTGTTTCCCAAAGTATGAGAAATACAATTTTAAATGTTACTCAGAAAAGCATTAAAATTTTTTAAAAATTACTAAAAATTCCCTTTTCTATTCCTTTCAAATCCTTCTAATTTTATCAAGAAGACCACAATTACAGAAAAATAGTTTAATTTGGAGAGAATTAAATTGCTCTTCTTTTAGCTAAGAAGAGGTGTTTTACCGAAGGATAAGCCACTGTAGTTTATCAGTTCTTGTACAGCATAAAAATTGTTACTGTAGAGATCCAGCTATGGATGCCACAGAGAAGCAAAGTTTGAGAGGCCACAGGTACAGCACCCCAGAGAGTGAGCTTGCCAATGTCAGGTATTGAGATGTTTTGGGAGAAGTTAGGCACCATGCTAGTGACCTTAGAATTCACGAGGCCACATGTTACTTAGTGGATGATAGCTATTTTTGAGATGCTTTCAAATATTATTATTTCACTCAGCCTCTTCCTTGAGTTTCAAAGAAGAAACTGGGATGCAGGGTAGGAATGTGCAAGGAAGTGAATCCGCTGTTAGCTTGATGGAGTTTGTTTTGTAGGTGACCTGCCCTTTCTCTGTAGCTAACTTTAAAATTCTTTCTTTCATTTTGACCTTAGAAAATCTGATGATGATGTGTGTTGGCAATGGTCTCCTGTAGAATCTTGCTAGGGTTCTCTGTATTTCCTGAATTTGACTGTTGACCTCTCTAGCAGGGTTGGGGAAGTTTTAATGGATATCCTGAAATATGCTTTCCAAGTTGTTTACTTTCTCCTCCTCCCTTTTATGGATGCCAGTGATTCATAGGTTTGGCCTTTTTACATAATCCCATACCTCATAGAGGTTTTGTTCATTCATCTTCATTCCTTTTTCTTTATTTTTGTCTGACTGTATTATTTCAGAGAACCAGTGAATTTATTTCTCAGCTTGGTCTATTTTGCTGTTAATCTTGTGATTACATGTGAAATTCTTGTATTGTGTTTTTCAGCTCTGTCAGATCTGTTAGCTTCCTTTTTATACCAGCTATTTCATTCTTCAGCTCCTTTATCATTTTATTATCATTCTTAGTTGCCTTGGATTAGGTTTTTCCATGCCGAATCTTGACGATCTTCATTACTATCCATATTCTGAATTCTGTTTCTGTCATTTTAGCCAGTGCAGCCTGGTTAAGATCTTTTACTGGAAAAACTAGTGCGATCATTTGGAGGACATAAAATACTCTGGCCATTTGAGTTACCAAAGTTCTTGCATTGGTTATTTCTCATCTCTGCATGTGGGTGTTCTTTTAACTGCAGTGTACATTGAGTATGGTCAATAGACTTCTTTTCTGGGTATTTTCACAGGAACAATGCTTTGTCAATGACCCCAAGGCAGGGTCATTATTCGAAGCTGAATTCTTGTCTTTGGTTTCACGATGGGGTATGTTAGTGAGGTATTTTTGGTGGTGAAGCTTTAGGGTGGATGCTTAAGTGTATTGGTCAGTTGTTAAACTCTTGCTCAGTTGTGTGGCTCCCCTAAGTTTCCTCACACTTGCAGCCATGTTCCTTCTCAATGCTTTGAAGGTGTGGGCTCCTCTCCCTCTTGAGTGCTGACTGTAGACCAAGACAGACTACTGGACTTTCCACTGCAGCTCTGGGGCAATCCCAGGGTTTACATTCCTTCCCCAACTTGGAGGCAGCAGAGGAAGGGACCTTTGTAGTGGTTGTGGCCAAGGGTCTTTTGCTTGTCTCCTGGGGGCTCCACCCCAGATTGCACGCAGGTCAGCAATCACTTAGTGCAATCAGCCCAGGATGGAGGGTCTGTGCTGTGGGCCCAAGCCAGGGGTTTCTTGTATGGTGATGAGCAGAGGAGAGACTGGGACCTGTGGAAGATGTACTGGCCTCCTCTCCTTGGGTCAACTGCAGCTTGTTGGAGATGTGGATAAGGCATTTAGGGTTTTTGCTCCTTCATTAGTCTGAGGGTATCAAGGGCAATTCCACTGCAGAGGCAGCGGCAGAGAGATTTTCAGTTGCCCATGGGGGCTCTGTCCAGGGAATTGCAGAGCTGTTACTAGCTCAATAGCCTCAGCAGGGCCTGGCTGATTGGCCCAGACCTGAAAGCCCTGCCTGGTGAGGAGATATTGGAATGGGCACCCACATAACAGTCTGGCCACTTCTCTTTAGGGCTGCTGCAGCATGCTGGGGTCTGTTTCACACCTAGTCACTTTCGATTTTCTGGTACCTGGAGGTATCAACAGAAGACTATAAAACAGCAAAGATGATGGCCTGCATCTCCCTCTGGGAGCTTCATCCCAGGGAGGTATGGACCTGTTACCAGCCTGAAATCACCTGTAGGAGGTGACTGGAGACCCTGGTTGAGAGGTCCTGCCAAGTGAGGAGGAATGGGATTGGGGACCCACTTAAAAAGCAGTCTGGCCACATTTTTATAGAGCAGCTGTGCTGTGCTGAGGGTCTGCTCTAGCCTCTAGTGGCCTTGGGCTCTCCAAAGCAGAATGGCTAAGTTGCCCAAACAGCAAAGATGTCAGTTTGCCCCCTCCTTGGGAGCACCATCCCAGTGAGGTTGGAAATCTCTTTTGTCTAGAAAACACCAGTCAGGGAAGCTGGAGACCCTGGCTGGGCCACCCAATGTGGAGAAATGGTATCAGGAACCCACTTTATAAAGCATTCTGGCCACGTTGTTGTAGAGCAGCTGTGCTGTGCTGGGGGTCCACTTCAGCCACTGATTGCCTTGGATTCTCCAGAACCTGAAGGACAAATCAGCTAAGTAGGCCAAACAGCAAAGATTGTGGCCTGCCCCTCCCCCTGGGAGCTTCTCCTGAGGGAGAGGTAAGGCTGCTACAGGTAGCTGACTAGAATTTTAAGCCAGTGGGTCTTATCCTGTGAGGTGTGGTGAAAGCAGGGCCTGCAGTTTGCCTCTGCTCAGCCCTCTGGACTCAGCCCCTTTCCTGGGGTGTGTATGGGGGTGTAACCTCCCACTTTGCCAGAGTTACAGCTGCTTTTGCCAGGAAGCTGTGAAAGCCGGAATATCTAAGGCTCCCAGGCCTTCACATGTGCCTGAATGACTGCTCTGCTGAGATCCACATAGCTCTATGTGTCAGTCTGAATGCCCTGGTGGAATGAGTTAAGGAGGAGATCTCCTGACCTGAGGGTTGCAAAGATCTATGGGAGAAGCATGGGTTCCTAGGGTCACACGTTCACTGTTTTCCTGGACCAGGGAGGTTCCCATGGCTCCATGTCTCTCCTGAATGCTTTTCTCCATTCTCCATGAGTCGAGTATTAGTCCCAATGCATGTACCTGGGTGTTTCAGTTGAACATGCTATATTTACTTGGCCTTTCTGTTCCTCTCCATGAGAATGGTGCACATTAGCTGCTTCTAGTCAGCCATCTTGGCCACCCACTACTCCTTCTTTTTAAAGGCTGAATAGTATTCCGTTGTGTATATATATATCACAGTTTCTTTTCTTTTTGTTATTTATTGACACTAGTCAAGTGCAGTACTGAGAAAGAGTAGAACAAGGACTTTGATCGGCAACTGACTATGAATCAGTTGAGATGAATCAGTACCTTCAGACAAACCTGTAATATATTTTCTTTCTTCATTCATCCGTTGATGGATTCAGGTTGATTTTCTCTTAGCTACTATGAATAATGCTACAATGAATATGGGCATGCAGATATCCATTCAACATACTGATTTCATTTCCTTTGCATATATATCCAGAAGTGGGATTGCTGGGTCATATGGTAGTTTTATTTTTAATTTCTTAAGAAACTTGCATGGTGTTTTACATAACATCTGTACTAATTTACATTACTGCCACAGTATGCAAAGCTTCCCTATTTTCCACATCCTTGCCAACATTATCTTTTGTGTTTTTGAAGATAGCCATTCTAATAGGTGTTAGGTGATATCTCATTGTGGTTTTATTTTGCATTTCCTCGATAATTAATGATGTTGAACATGTTTTCATGTACCTATTGATAATTTGTATGTCTTCTTTTGAGAAATACCTATTCAGTTTATTTGCCATTTTTAACTAAGTTATTTATTTTCTTGCTACTTTTGTTATTGCTATTATTCTTACATTTCAAAAAGACACCACTCATGTGAATGTATGAATGCAAACAATGTTTTCTGTTTTAAGAAACTGCAAACTAATAAAAATAGCAATGACTAATATTTATTGAGTAGTTGTTTTTTTCCAGGCATTATTCTAAGGTGTTTTCTTATATTACAAATGTTATCCTCTAAAGAACCCTACATGAAGATACTATTGTTTTTACTGTTTCACAGAGAGGAAATGTAAGACACAAGAAATTACACAATTTGTCCAATTTATCCCATGTAGTAAAGCTGTAGAGAGAGGTTTTGAACTAGCTATTCAAGCTTCCAATGTCTGTGTTCTTAAACCACAATGCAACTTCCCCTCAGAAGAGACACATCAATCTTTGATTTGATTATAACAAGTAAGATCTTTTGTGCTCACTATTGGTCGTCTGTCCCTTTCCTCTAGAGAAAATAATTTTACTCTGACATGAAGTAGCACTTTCTAAAAAACCTCCTGTGAGTAATTGCCATTTAGAATTGATTTTCATCTCTACAGACAACTTGAATAAAACTTTTCTTTCCATCAGTTCAGTTCTTAAAACTCAAGGAGTATCAGTCTATTGCCAGCTAACTCCAGGTTCAATAACAAATAGGAAAACACAGTCTCCACATGAATAACTTTTATAGTTTGTCCATTAGAAAGTGCGAGAGTGTGATGACCAAGCACGATTTGCATCTGCTTCCTCAGCAGACTGCCTGGTAGATGAACAACCCCCGGCAGTTCAAGTGAAATATTTAGTAACTAAGCAGGGAGTAGTATGAAAGCAAATTATATACACTGGAGAATTGCATGACAGGAAATGTTATGGTTGGGCTTGATATTAGAATGTATTACCCTCACAATCGCCTTTTCTATTCTCTAAAAAATCTTAAGTGGCACTTTTCTGAGGAACAGTGGTATGCTAATTTTATTATTGCAATAAACTATAATTTGACTTAAGGATTTTATAATAACCAGATATATTTTCAAAATCTATATATTTGAGATATAGATCTCACATATAACTAGGAAATATTAAAATAAATTTGCTCATAAATTTTATTTTTGCTATTTTAATCAAATTATATGAAGGACCAAAGTTGATATATTTCATCCATAATTCTAGTATTTACTAATTATTGATGTAGCACAGAGGTGGACAAACTATGGCCCAAAGGTCAAATCTGGTTCATGGCCTATTGTTATGTAACCCACCAGCTAAGAACGAATTTACATTTTTTAGGAGGTTATGAAAAGAACAGAAAAAGAATATCGTATGTGCCTCAAAATGCCTAAAATATTTAATATATGGCCTTTTACAGGAGTAGTGGTGAACCACTGATTTATCTTCCAAATTCTTCCATAACATACTTCCAGTTTTTTTTGTGTGTGTGTGCTACCCAGGCTGTAGTACAATGGCATGGTCTTGGCTCACTGCAACCTCTGCCCCCTGGGTTCAAGTGATTCTCCTGCCTCAGCCTGCCGAGTAGCTGGGACTACAGATGCATGCCACCACACCCGGCTAATTTTTGTACTTTAGTAGAGATGAGGTTTCACTATGTTGGCCAGGCTGGTCTCAAACTCCTGACCTCGTGACCCACCCACCTTGGCCTCCCAAAGTTCTGGGATTACAGGCGTGAGCCACCGTGCCCGGCTGCTTCCAGTTTTTCTTTTTCTATGTAATTATTTCATTTTGTTAAATACCCTACTTAAATTCTGGTATCAGGTAGTATTTTATCCTTTAATTTCCAACATGTGATTCTGGTGTTGTAATATAAGGTCAATCAATTAAATTCATTATATACTTTACTAAACTAGTGTTTGTTACACACTTTAGGAAACACACCTGAGAAACCATAGCCTGGGACCTTTATCTGCACCTGAATATCAAGCTTATGCCTGATATCATCCCAAGTTAGATTTGGGGAGGTTTCGCTGGATTACCTTAGTGTATTTTAACTGTGGGCGGGTTGTAACTCATTAAAGCTAGAGGGAAGATTGTGGTATCTAGAATTCAAAGATGGCCTGCCTATGGACCAGGCCTCCTAGTATGTATTCAAGTACACACTTGTATAGTTCCCTTTTTTATTGAATTTGGGTTTGCTTTTGGTAACTAATAGAATGCAACAGAAGTGACATCATGTTACTTTCAAGCTAAAAAGTCTTGTAGCATCTACCTTAATCTCTCATAATACTTGCTCTGATAATGCTTCCCCATAAAATCTAGGAAACATTTGGTAAGAATCTAAAGCTACATGGAAAAGACATATGTAGGCAAAGAGCCCTAGCTGAACTCTTACACAACAGCCAGCATGAATTACCAGTTATGTAATTGAGCTAGCTTGGGCATCTTGTTTTATAAGGCCTTCAGGTGATTTCAGCAATGGCTGCCATTTGTATGCAATCACTTGAAGAATACTAAGCAACAACCACCCAGCTGAGCGCAATAAGCTTATAGCACCATGAGGGATAATAATAAATTGTTTCAAACCATTATGTTTCCATGCAGCAATAGATAACCAGAATAGCATGTTGCAGACATTCTCTGAGCATTTTCTTACTTACAGGTTCATTTTGTACTTTATGCCCCACCCCTAGAATCAACCACCTCCTCAAAGAACCCTAGTTTTAATTAGTGGAGAATAATATTTAGAAACTAATATCTAGGTGCTGATAGATGATCTTATTGCTATAAGAGGTCTCTACTTTGAGGGCCTCTCAGGGGACAGAGCTAACATTATATATTATATATAATGTTATATATAACATATATATTTATATATCATTTATATATAACATATATATTTGTATATCATTTATATATAACATATATATTTATATATCATGTATATATAACATATATATTTATATATCATTTATATATAAATATATAACGTATATATTTATATATAACATATATATTTACATATCATTGATATGTAAATATATGACATATATTTACATATCATTGATATATACATATATGACATATATATTTACATATTGATATATACATATATGACATATATATTTACATATCATTTATATATACATATATGACATATATATTTACATATCATTTATATATACATATATGACATATATATCATTATATATACATATATAATATATATCATTTATATATACATATATAACATACATGTCATTTATATATACATATATGACATATATATTTACATATCATTTATATATACATATATGACATATATATCATTTATATATACATATATAACATATATATGTCATTTATATATACATATATAACATATATATGTCATTTATATATACATATATAACATATATATCATTTATATATACATATATAACATATATATGTCATTTATATATACATATATAACATATATATGTCATTTATATATACATATATAGCATATATATGTCATTTGTATATACATATATAACATATATGTCATTTATATATACATATATAACATATATATGTCATTTATATATACATATATAACATATATATGTCATTTATATATACATATATAACATATATGTCATTTATATATACATGTATAACATAGATATGTCATTTATATATACATATATAACATATATATCATTTATATATACATATATAACATATATATCATTTATATATACATGTATAACATATATATCATTTATATATACATATATAACATATATATCATTTATATATACATGTATAACATATATATCATTTATATATACATGTATAACATATATATCATTTATATATACATGTATAACATATATATTTATATATCATTTGTATATACATGTATAACATATATATTTATATATCATTTATATATACATGTATAACATATATATTTATATATCATTTATATATACATGTATAACATATATATTTATATATCATTTATATATACATATATAACATATATTTATCTATCATTTATATATACATATATAACATATATATCCTTTATATATAAATATATAACATATATATCATTTATATATACATATATAACATATATATTATATATCATTTATATATAACATATATATTTATATATCATTTATATATAAATATATAACATATATAATATCATTTATATAACATATATAGTTAATATATATCTTACATATATAATTTATATAAACACATTATATATTATATATAATTTATATAAACACATTATATATTATATATAATTTATATATATAATATCTATAAAGTTTTATATATAATAGATAATTTTTATATAATATATATAAAGTTTTGTATATATATATTTACACACACACCCAATATCGCCATGAGTTCACACCGAAAAGCTTAAGTTCTAAGCCAACCCCACGGAGATTATTGAAATCATTCCCTTTATCATGTTTATAACTCTCATTTCTGAAAACAAATGTACAATTTCATCTATCTCCCATCTTCACACACTCAGGTCTTACTTCCCCCAGTGTAGATGTCCCCCTTATCAACTCCATACCTTGCAAAGACACCAATGCTATACCCATCTATTATATGAACTCCCACCTTTACTCCCACCTTTTTCTGTCTGACTTTTGGACAGAATGAGAAAAGAAATGAAGGAAGGAAGAAGCAAAGAAAGGAAGGAAGAAAAGATTTTATTTTATTTTACTTTTTTTTAGAGTTGAGGTCTTGATCAACCCAGACTGGATTGCAGTGGCACGATCATGGCTCACTGCAGTCTTCAACTGCTGGGTTCAGACAATGCTCCTACCTAGGCCTTCCAAGTAGCTGGGACTACAGGCACATGCCCCCATGCCTGAATAAATGTTTTAAAAATATTTTTTAGAAATGAGGTCTTGCTCTGTCACCCAGGCTGGAGTTCAGTGGCGGGCTCATGACTCAATGCAGTCTTGAACTCTTGGCCTCAAATGATCTTCCTGCCTTGGCTTCCCAAGTCTCTGGGATTACCAGCATGAGCCATCATCCCTGGCCAGAAATATTTTTAATGATGTTTTGGGAGAGACAATTTGGCACATGTTGATTTATATTAGGATTGGAATATGAAGAAAACAGTGGAAGACTGGCCAAAAGGATATTGCAAAAATAAGGCAGAGGTAATGTGACAAAATGGAGAATAAACATTCTAAAGTGCTTGAGGGCTGAATCAGTACAGGGTTGATACAGAAGAATAAGTATGTTTCAAAGTTTAAGGCTTTAGAAATTGGGGTTGGGGTACAGAGCAAAGAAAATATTTTTATGTTAGTGTTCTTAGAGTGGAATAGTCATTAAACATATTGTTTCATAACTTTGCAGTTGATTTGTGAAGCAAATATGGAAATCAAATATCCATGTGGCTGTAGTCAATAAGAAGAATCAGTGGAATAACGTCTAATTGGATAATTCACTACAACCTCAAATACAGTATACTCAACCCTTAAATATAACACTGTGGCTTAGGGTTTGATAGGTAAAACCGAGTCCAAAGATAAATTGAACATTGGACATGTCACAGATAAATTCATCTAGTAAATAAAAGCAGAAAACTTGAGATTTTTTTTTTTTTTTAGCTTTCAAACAAATTGTACTGTCTTACAAAATACTGACACCTGTGTTAAGAAGTTCTCATAGGTTACATCATAGTAGATTTTTATCCTGATCTCAATCAATCATTGAAAAAGAGGTCAGATTTGGAAGAATTGAAAGTGATTTAGAATGAAAACTGATTGAGGCAAAAGTTTTTAATTCTTTTTAGGGAGCTGCGGTTTCTCTTTTTTTTCCTCTCAGTAAATTATAGGTAATAGTATGAACTTCACATCTAACGTCTACTCACATCTTCTTAAAAGCCATTGTTTTAACCCTAGCACTGTACTGACTTGGAAACTGATAATTAAAACTAGTAAGTACTGGTGAGCTGCACACACATTCCACAGCCTTATTGTTTACAGAATAGAAGCTGTTCTTTATCTTTTCCATCAACATCTTCCATATATAATCTGTTTCAATTTTTTAAAAACTTGTTAATCTGTTATGCAAAATATGGTCTTCAACATTCACTATTTTCACTAACCACAAACAAACAGCATTCTTTACTTCCAGAATTTAATAGGTAGGTATTTTCTTACTGAAAAGAAAAATCTACTATTTAATCTGCTCTATAATTTATTGACATTGTTACACCATTAAAAACATAAAACTAAACAAACCAAAATATATATTCAGCAGACTGGATACTCAAAAGTTATCAAAATTCTCCAAAGATACCCAATTATATAATTTTTAAAAACAAATACTATTACTATTGGGGAAGCAATGATATGTATTAGATTGTAATAAATCAGTGAAATATATTGTAATATTTATGGTATCTAAGAACAGAATGCATAATTATCAACTTTAATAGATAGAAAATAACATTCAAATATATGATGATAATAAAAATTGTTATAATAAGTGGTTAATCTAAAAGATAAGGGAAAAAAGGAAACATTAAATATGATAGGTCAAATAAAAGAAATAGTAAGAGGTATACATAAACCACATGTATCAGTAATTACATTAAAAGTAAATAAAATACTAAATGTCAAAGATTATCTAATTGAATCAAAAAGTAAAAGCAATAATATACTACTTAAAAGAAGTACACTTTAAGTATAGACTGTAGATAAAGCTATAGGGCTGAGCAAACCAAAGAAAGTAATAAGGTTGACTAAACCAAAGAGTAAACATAACTATATAAGTATTGGAAAAAGTAAACATTAAGATGAGAATTAAAGACATATGAAATATTTTCAAAAAGTTCATAGACAATGTGTATGATGAAAAAATTATGCATGGATTTCAATTCTTTTGTTGGCAGCAAAACAAACATACTAGCTTGTTATTGCATGTGAAGGATATAAGACATAAGTTTGAACAAAGCCCCTATCAGAGAAACATGATTTCTGCTAAAATTATTTGATACATTGCCAAACTGCTTTCCACAATGGCTGAACTAATATACTTTCCCACCAGCAGTGTGTTAAGTGTTCCCTTTTCTCTGCAACATCACTGGTATCTGTTATTTTTTGACTTTTTAATAATAGCCATTCTGGCTGGGTGTGGTGGCTCATGCCTGTAATCCCAGCACTTTGGGAGGCTGAGGCAGGATTGCTTGAACCCAGGAGTTTGAGACAAGCCTGGGTAAAACCCCTGCTTGAAGAGATGGCAAAACCCCGTGTCTAGAAAAAGATAAGAAAAAAATAGCCAGATATGGTGGAGCACATCTATGGTTCCAGTTACAAGGAAGGCTGAGGTGGGAGGATCCCTTGAACCCAGGAAATCAAGGCTGCAGTGAGCCACGATCACACCATTGCACTCCAGCCTGGGCAACAGAGTGAGACTCTGTCTCAAAAAATAATAATGGTAGCCATTCTAACTAGTGTGAGATAGTATCACATATAGTTGTAGTTTTGATTTGCTTTTCTCTAATGACTAGTGATGCTGAGCATTTTTTCATATTCTTGTTGGCCGCATTGTAGAAAGGGGACACTTACACACTATGCGTGGGAATGTAAATTGTTCAGTAGTTGTAGAAAGCAGTTTGGTGATTTCTCAAAAAACTTAAAACAGAATTGCTATTCAACCCAGCAATCCCATTATTAGGTATATATTCAAAGGAATCTAAATTATTGTATCATAATGACATACACATGTGTATGTTCATTGCAGCACTTTTTGCAATAGCAAAGACATGGAATCAACCTAAATGCCCATCAGTGGGAGACTGGATGAAGAAAATGTGGTACATATACACCATGGAATGTTATGCAACCATAAAAAAGAATAAGATCATGTCCCTTGCAGCAACATGAATGGAACCGGAGGCCATTATCCTAAGCAAATTAATGCAGACACAGAAAACCAAATACTGCACGTTCTCACTTATAAATGGAAGCTAAGCTTTGAGTACATGTGAACACAAAGAAGGGAACAACAGACACCAGGGCCTACTTGAGGGCAGAGGGTGGGAGGAGGATAAAGGTCAAAAAATTTCCTGTTGGGTGCTATGCTTATTACCTGGGTGACAAAATAATCTGTACACCAAACCCACAATTTACGAATATAACAAACCTGCACATGTACCCCTGAACCTAAAATAAAAGCTAAAAAAAATTAAAGCAAGAACAAATATCACATTTATGATGAAGCTTGACTGGAATAATACTTAAATTATTGATACTTTGTAAGAAGTTTTAGGGACAATGCCCCACCAACAGATCAGCAGTTTACAAATGGATAACTCATTTAAAGAGGGGATGAGATGATGTTAACAATGAAGCTTGCAGTGGCAGCCCATGCACATTAATATGTGAAAAAAAAATCTTGTTCATTTCCTAATTGAAGAGGACAAATGATTAACCATGGAAACAATAGCCAACACTATAGATATCTCAATTGGTTCAGCTTACAAAATTCTGACTAAAAAATGGAAGTTGAGCAAATTTTACCCTCAATGAGTACCAAAACCTTTGCCTCCAGAAGACCTGCAGGAAAGAGCAGAGCTTTCAATGGAAATTTTAAACAAGTAGGATCAAACTTCTAAAGCATTTCCTTGAAGAATTCTAACGGGAGAAGAAACATGGCTTTACCAGTATGATCCTGAAAACAAAGCACAATCAAAGCAATGGCTATCAAGGAATGAACGTGACCAGTCAAAGCAAAACTATACCAGTCAAGAACAAAGGTCATGACAGCAGTTCTGGGGGATGCTCAAGGAATTTGCTTGTTAACTTTCTCGAGGGCCAAAACAAAGGGAAACAAAACAAAACACACCACACACACACACACACACACACACACCCCAAAAACACCCAGGAAAACTTCACCAGAGGGTAATTCTTCACTAAAACAATGCTCCTGTTGATTCCTCTTATCAAAAGGGATCAATTTTGTGAGAGTTTTGATGGGAAATCATTAGGTATTCACCTTACTGTCTTGATTTGGCTCCTTCTGACTTATTTTTGTTTCCCAGACTTAAAAAAATTTTAAACAGGTATCCATCTTTCTTCAATTAATATGGTAAGAAAGACTGCATTTACATAGTTAAGTTCCCAGGACCCTCAGTTCTTTAGGGATAGACCAATTGGCTGGTATATCACTTACAAAAGTGTCTCAATATTAATGGAAGCTACGTTGAGAAATAAAGGTTGTTTTCATTTTTATATTTTAATTCAATTTTCTATGAACTTTTTGAAGTCCCCTTGTCATTTCACAATAATGTAGAAGTTAAAAAGGAAGACACCTTAAATCTAAATGTGAATAGCCTGTAATATAGCCCCAAAATATAGCAAAAAAAAAGCTGAAATATTTCAATAAAGGAATAGCTAAATCACAATCATAGTGGGAACATTTAATATGTTTATTTCACCAACTGTTAAAACAAGTAGAGAGAAAGTTAAATATATATTTGTAAGACCTGAATAATACAATTAACACATTTGACCTAATTAGCATATATAAAATATTTCAACACAATGAAAGAACATGTATTCTTTTCACGGGAATATATAACATTTTCTGATATTGACCTTATGTCATTTAACAAATTTCAAGGTATTGAAATTATTTAGAGACCATTCTTGGACATTATAAAATTAAACTAGAAATCAAGCTAAAGATAAATCCTCAACTGCTTGGAAATTAAGCAATATAATTTTATATTATTGATTTCATATATTATATGATTCTCTAGATATGTACATATAAGCTAAAGAGGAAATCAAAATGGTAACTAGATAATATTTAAACCTTAATATTAAAGAGAATATAACATATAAAAATTTGTGTGATTCAGCTGAAACATTGCTTAGAAGGAAACTTATAGTATTCTATGTATAAATTTTAAGAAGATAAAAATCTGAAACCAGTTATGTAAGCTTCTGTTTCAAGAATTAGCAAGTGAATATCCAATCCAATTCAGAAGTAGAATGAGGAAAATAATAAAGACTATTGCTAAAATTAATTTTATTTTTCTCTTTCTAGCTGTTTCTCTCTATCTCTCTCTCTCATACAATAGATAAATTAACAAAGACAAAACTTGATTTAGTAAAACTATTAATAAAATCAATAATTCCTTAGGAATAGTGATCAGGAAAAAAGAGAAAACACAAATTACTAATATCATGGGTGAAAAAAGAGACATTACTACAGATTCTATGAATATGGTAAAAAAGATAGTACATAAAATATCTTTATGCTAGTAAATTAGACAATTCTGTCAAAAAGGGCAAAATTTTAGGAAAAAATATACTTTGTGAATACTAAAACAAGAAAAGACAGAAAATATAAATATTCCCACACATATTAAATAAATTAAATACATTATTAAATTTATTTTCAGTATGAAAAGCTGAATGTCCAAGCTCAGATAGCTTCTCTGGTAAATTCTTTCAAAAATTGAAGGAAGAAACTTTATTAATCTTAGAAGAAATCTTTCCACAGAATAAAAAAAGGACAGAATAATTACTAATTTATTTTATTAGAGTCACAAAATAATCTATAAGAAAACTAATAGAATTTATAAGTGATTTCACTAAGATTGCTGGTGACAAAGTCAATATACAAAATTAATTTTGATTTTTATATATTGAAAAAATAAATAGAAAATATAATACTACTATAGTATTAAAAATTAAATATCTAGTAGTTAATTTAGCAAAAGATATTTAAGATGTCTACACAAAACAGTACCAAAAACTATGAGAGATATCACTGACTATATAAACAAATGGAGGAAAGTATTGTGTTTATAGATCATAAAGCTGAATGAACTAAAAATGTCAAGTTTTAAACATTAAAGATTCAACATAAGCTTTATCAAAATCCTAGAAGTACTTGTATACTGGTCAATGTTTAGATGTATTTAAACCTATCAAAATTAAAAGAATGTGTCAGTGACACAGGGATAGGCAAATAGACAAATGGAAGAGAATACAGAATCAAGAAAATAATAACTGTATAACCTGAATAACTATAATTAAATTTAAGAGACTTAGTAGAAATGTTAGACAACATGGATAAACAGAATTTTGGATGATAAATTAAAAACTATAAAAATGAGAAATTCCAGTAGATCTAGCAAATAGAAATACTAGAAAAACAAAGCACAATGTCAAGGGTAAAATGTTCTTTAATAGCAGACTAAACAGAACTGGAGACATAATCAGTACACTTAAAGATATGCCAATATAAATTGTTCAAAGTACAACAAAAGAAGAAGAAAGATTTAAAGAAAAGAATATTAGAACTGTGTGACAGTTGTATATATGGAATTAAAATTCCAAAAATAGAAGAGACAGATGATGGGGCAGAAGAAATATTTGAAGTGAAAAAAAGCAAGCATTTTTCAAAATCAATGAAACAGCAACAAACCACAAAAAGCCCAGAGGACACCAACCAGAATATAGAAAAACCAAAACAAAAGCATACTTAGATATAACATAGTCAAACTGGTAGAAAATCAATGCCCAGTAAGCAATCTTAAAGGCAGTATAAAAATAACAGTGTATTTGGAAAAACAAAAAATTACAAAAGACTTTTTTATCTGAAACAATGCAAAAGAGAGACAATGGAACAACTTCAAGATACTGAATGAAAAATAAAGCTGTCAACCCAGAATTCTATCCCCAATAAAAAATCTCTCTTAAATTTGAATGTAAAAAAAGACTTTTTCAGAGAAATAAAAGATAATATATTTGAAATAAAACTTCATTATGACATTACAAGAAATTCTTTCAAGCAGAAGGAATGTAGTATCAGATGGAAACCTGTATCCATGTAATAAAATTCACCAGAAATAGTAAAAATAATTTTCAATCTGAAATAAAGTTTTCTTATTTGTATTAATGTTAAAAGATAATTGACAATCTATTAAGAACATATGGTGTGGTTTATATCCCAAAAGTTGTGATAGAAAAAAAAATATAACTGCTGGAAGTTTCTGACACTGTACATAAAGGACTATAATATTATTTGAAATTTTACTGTAATAAGCTGAAGATGCATGTTGGAAGCCATCCTCAATCAATAAAAATAAAAGCCTGAAGAAAGGCTAAACTATTAACTATTAATACAGATGCTTACTTTAAAAATAAATGCTAGCAAACTAAATCCAAAGGTATATTTTTAAAGTGTTACTAGTGGCTGGGTGTGGTGGCTCACACCTGTAATCCCGGCACTGAGGTGGGAGGCTGAGGTGGGTGGATCATGAGGTCAGGAGTTCGAGACCAGACTGGCCAACATGGTGAAACCCTGTCTCTACTAAGAATACAAAAATCAGCTGGACATGGCAGTGGGTGCCTGTAATCCCAGCTATTTGGGAGGCTGAGGCAGGAGAATTGTTTGAACCAGGAGGTGGAGGTTGCAGTGAGTTGAGATTGCACCATTGCACTCCAGCCTGGGGGACAGGGCGAGACTCCATCTCAAAAAAAAAAAGTGTTACTAGTACAGTACATTTAAGAAATGAAATAATGTTTAATATTAGGAAATCTTTTAATATAAATTATCATAAGTGAAAAGCTTAGGTAGACAGAATATTTGATAATATTTAAAATCCAATTCCTAAATATTAGAACTCTATAAAACTGAAATGTAAACATGTTTTATTTTCATTGTAGAAATATTGAAAGCCTTCAGACCATTTAATTACAATACACTAGACTAGAAGCATTACATTTGAAACAAAAATAAGACAAGTGTAGCCATTATCACTGCCTTGATCTTACATAATTCTGGAAGTGTGAACCAATGAGGTTAAAAAAGTGAGTCAATTTATAATATATATATATATATGTATTATTATTTTTTTTATTTTTTTTTTTTGAGACGGAGTCTCGCTCTGTCGCCCACGCTGGAGTGCAGTGGCACGATCTCGGCTCACTGCAAGCTCCGCCTCCCGGGTTCACGCCATTCTCCTGCCTCAGCCTCCTGAGTAGCTGGACTGCAGGCGCCCGCCACCACGCCCGGCTAATTTTTTGTATTTTTAGTAGAGACGGGGTTTCACCGTGTTAGCCAGGATGGTCTTGATCTCCTGACCTCATGATCCGCCCGCCTTGGCCTCCCAAAGTGCTGGGATTATAGGCGTGAGCCTCCGCGCCCAGCCTATAATCAATATTTTTATATAATAAGATTATCTACCTGAACAAGATAAAAATATTACAAACTTTTTGAAAGAAAATGACAATTTCATTATGACAATTTTATTATGCATATGTAAACAATGGTAAATCAAAAAACCCTGAATCTTCAATATAAATAAAATTCCTATTTATAATGCCAACAAATATAGAAAATACAAGAAATTAAAATACATAACAATTATTTACTTTACTCAATTGCATAAAGTTACAATGACGGAATAATATCTTGATATGTGAAAACAAAAGGAGATCATTAAAACACAATAAGAAATAAGGAAAAAAAGGCAAGTATATATGAATAGATATACTAAAACTCGTTACTTTCATTTCAAATTAGGATGGACATACAAATGGCCAAACATTGGAAAAATGTAATATATACAATATGCAAAATGAATATACAACTCAAAAATGAATTTCAGAAAAATTAAAGTAGTCTGTGGTGAAATGAACACACAAAATAATGTATGAAGAAATTATGAGTGAATATTTATATAACATACAAGTCAGGGAAAACATTTCTAATTGTGGTATCAATAACAGAATCTTTTATGAGAAAATACGAGAATTGAACACATGTTTAAAACATGTTTACACCAAAATAAATAAGAAAGTAAGTACATAAATAAATAAACGAGTAACATGTAAAGAGGGGAGAATATGTTGCAATGTATTATTATATTTCATGATCCACAAAATGATCTTAAACAGCAATTTAAAATAGACAAGTACTCCAATACAATAGGAAACAACATGAACAGGCAATTCAAAATTGTAAAATAAATACCATTAGATATAAATATTTTTCCTCAATATGAATCAAATAACTATTTATTTAAAGCGTATTTTTAATTATTATTTTAAAAAACACCAATGAAGTAAAGTGTTAAATAATGGACATTTTTATATACAACTATTACATTGTAGTTTTATATAATTCTACACGGCATGATGGAACAATTTTCCAAAAGGCTTAAATGCATTCCTCTATACCTCAAAATTCCATTTCTAGGAATATTTTCCTCCTAGGGAAGTAATTGCATAGGTACAAAACATGTAAATATATAACAATATGACATTAACAAGTTTGTAAGTAAATAGAAAAATATATTTAAAATCTTCTTAGCTTTCTTTCATTTCATGGTCCTTCAAGAACCTAGAATAAGTACATCTTTTATATGTATTTTTGGAAATAGAAATTTATTAGGCATAAAATATATTTTCAGATAATTTGCTATTTGTATCCCAATTTTTATGTAAGTCTCCATTCTCCTATGCTTTCATATATATGTTTTGCCAATATATGTCTACAGTATGCGAGCACTGGAATGTGAAAGGCCCTTGGCATAATTTCAAGTGAAATATAACTTCATTTAATTGTGTTGATTCTTTATTGAATTGTTGTTCCTTTCAGCCTGAATGTCTCAGATTGATTTCAAACAAATGCAGCAACAAATCAAGGTGTTCTTCCTTGGGAAGTGATGGGTGTTTTGCCTACTGTCAATCTCTGGGTAAGTTCCATTAACATTTCTATCTCTTTGTATAGAGTTCTGAGTTTTGATTGTTTGTTTAGACATTATATCTGTGTCATTTACAGTTCTGATATGCTGAGTATTTTAGATATTTAATTTAATAGTGAAGATAGACTCTGAATTTAGGGATGCCAGCTTTACCACAATCACCACAATCAATAGACAGTAAGCACTATTATAAAAGCATCATCGTACATCAAAATCCTATCAGATAGTCTGATCTGCTGTAAAGGTTGTCTGAAGTTGCTGGTGTTATGCCTTTGGACAAGCTATTGACCTTCACTGTCTTATTGTAACATTATAATTTGATTGAAATAAATGGCTTTTGTAAATACTCTCAATTAAAAAATAGTGCAGTGTTTAGCACACAGACTTTGGATTAGCCAGATTTTTGTTGGTATCCGTGTTCCATTTTTTTAATGGTTGCATAACACTGGGCAAGTTAATTAACTGAAATTACTTTATCTCTGAAGTGAGAACAATGAGAGAGACTAACTTATAGGCTAAATACTGGGCTAAACATTTTACATGCATTTTTATTGAAATTAGCCCAGTGCCTGATGCCTGATTGAAGTGGTTATTGTTCAATGTTGAATTTCCAGCATCTGTTCCCCTTTTCTATATTTGAGAAATATCCTACTCTGTGATTCTTAGACCACCTCTCACCATAGAAGCCAGCTACCTGTTTTTCTAATCTCTGTCGCAGTTATGGATAGACGTGTATTAGATGCTGTTAATTACATCACTGGAACTAGTGGTTATAAATTAAATGTCTATGTCAGTTGTATTTGGTGAATGTTGTAGCAGAGGCAAAAGCTACACCTAATTTCCTGTGGCACTTAAGAAAGCTTTATCATGATTTTCAGTGGTGCTCCTGAATATCTTATCCTCAAGAATGTTATGATCCTTTTCTAGATTATTTATTTCTATTAAATAAAGTTATTTTCTACTTAAATTAGCCAGCTTATTTCTACTGCAGAAAACTAAGAACTTCACGTGAAACATTGGCACATAATACTAGTCTTCAAATGGTAGTTGTGGTTAATAGCTGCAGTAGAAACTGTTATTGTATTAAAATATAAATGACTAAATGTTGATAATTGCTGAAGCTGAAAGATGAAAATACAAAATTTTATTACATTATTTGCTCTTCTTTTAGGTATGTTTGAAGTTTCTATGATAGTTTAAAACATTTACATAAGTATATGCATTACAGATACATGTGCACACAGGTGAAAATTGATTCTTTACAGATGTTACATATACAGTTTATTTTTGAAACCAAGTGAAAAAGTTAATTGTAAGAACTGACAAATTCCAAAGATGAGGTTTTATTCTGCTTAAATTTAATTTGATATTGTGACTATCTACTGGCCTCACCTAGAGGTTGTAAGCATAAGTGATGTGAGAGGATAAGCAGAGATCTAAGTTTTCATTCTGTTTCAATATATTAACCAGCAATAAATGTTGTGCTTAAAATTTTGATCATGCAATTTCTCCAAAGAATAATATTTTACATTAAAATGTATGGTGAAGCAGTGTGTAAAATAAGCAAGTTATAAGTAACTTAAAAAAAGTTTTAGGAATGAATACTGCCAATAAAATTAGGCCTTAGTCAAATGATCTGCTTGAGGTATATTCCACAACAATTACTGTCTTTGGAATTCTGAAGTTACAATTTAATTATGGTAAAAATATTAAAATAACTAATGCCAAGGATGTGCTTCATTGTTGATATCAGACATATACATGCATCTGGAGATATTGCTAATGCAAATAAGATGTTTTCTTTAGCCCACTGAAAGGCATAGCAAGAAAAAATAATAGGGATATTTATGGTACAATTTGTCTGTTTAATCATGAGGTGGAAGAGAATAAATCTAAACCAGTAACTGAATAGGAAAACAATTTTGTACTGAATTGCAAAGTATTATCATATCTCATGAGCATATTGTTTAAAATGAAACTCTAAGTTATTTGTGAATAGGAGCATGGCCAGAAACTAAGGTCCGACATCACTGTGTAATTAATAGATGGAAATCAGTTGAATGGGAGTTACTCTTTTTGTAGTCAGAATGATACCCTAATATGGGCAGCAGAGTCAATGGAATCTGTATAAATATACAAATTCATCAAGAACTCTAAAATTATTAAAAGTACTTCAAATTTTATGATAATGAGTATCAGCCTTTATATACATACACATTTGTATATCCATTTGAATTTGATGCAAAATCATTTCTGGGACACTTAATATAAATTTGTGAATAGCATCTTCACAGAGAAATATTTTTTACTAAATATCCCACTAGTTTTGTCTCCTAAATGTAATTCAAATCCCTTCTCATCGCCACTGTTTATGTTCTGGTAATGGTGATTAACATTTTTTGCTGGGATTAACACAAATGCCACTTAGCCAGTTATCCTAATTATTGTCTATCCACCTTCAACTCATCTTCAGGTACCACAGTGTATTGATTGGTTCTAAGTAAACAATTTTTCATACTTTAGGTTATTTGAAATCAGAATACTTTTTACAATCACCATCAGCCGGGTGGCAGTCATAATGAGTTTATTTATTAGTGTCTATCTGAAAGTCAAGTGTCTCAGTATCATAACTTGCATGGGTGTTGGTGACATTAAAAAAAAAATCTCAGGAAAAATTGTGGAACAACATTCCTAAAAAGGAAGTCAAAAGTAAACTAGTTTTACATGACTGCAAACTTAGCTCTTGAGCACTAATGACTTTTAGTTCTTTCATCAATTCTTTAAGAAATGTATTATCAATATTCTTGATGGCATAGAGGAAGATTTGGTGTATAAAATTATAGACATTGACCATTCTAAGTTGAGAAATAACTCAATATTTAGATACTTATTAGGAGGAAGTTTTGAAAATAACTTAATCCATTTATTTTTATTATAATATTTTTTGTTTGGCCAATGTTGTGATCATACCTATAATCCCAGTGCTTTGGGAGGCTGAGGCAGGAGAATTGCTTGAAGCCAGGAATTTGAGACCATTCTAGGCAACATAGCGAGACCCCCATCTCTACAAAAAAGTTTTAAAAATTTAGCCAGGCGTGATGGTACACCTGTCCCAGCTACTGTGGAGCCTGGGGCAGGAAGATCACTTGAGCCCAGGAGTTTGAGGCTATAGTGAGCTACGATTATGCCACTGCACTCCAGCCTGGGCAACAGAGTGACATCCTGTCTCTAAAAATAAAAATTAAAAAAAATCCTTTTTAATGTATCCACAAACGTGATACTGATAAATGTGATACCAATTTATAATAAAAATCTGTTTACTTAATTTAAAAAATAAATAGCTCTTTTAGCAAATTTAATAATTGTTAGTAATCAGAAAGCATTGCTTTATATTTTAATTAGCAGTATTTTATTAGCGCATTTTAAAACCCTTGGCATCTTGGTTCGTTGATTATCCTGTGTCACCTATCTAATAAGTTTATCACCAATGAACAAAAATAGGTATCAATATCTCCCTGTTGCCTATGAAATAGAGTCACAATTCATTATCATGATGAGGGGCACTTTAGGTTGGGTTATCTAGAAGCAGAGACCAAGACAGAATTCTCGTGTAAGGGATTTGCTAATGTGATGCTTTCACATGAATTGTGGATATCTGGGAAGCAAAATAGGTGGAAGAAGAATCAAAGTAGGATGTGTGCTGAGTTGAAGTCTGTGTAACGTCTAAGTAAAGTTATGTGTTCAGCTGATACTATGGGGAGCTTGTCGTCATTCTGTACTGTATCAACATAGTTAAGTTGAAACTACATTTTCCAGAATCCTCTCCCCTTTATATCTCTCGGTTTATCATTGGCTACAAGTGATATCTGCATAAAATTTAGAAGGCAGAGGTAAGTAACAGCCATTCTACCCTGCAGGTCAGTGAAGGGCGCAAGATGCTGTTGCAGATAGCTCCCGTTATTGCTGATCTTGTGGCTCACAGGCCTAGTGGAGACAGCAGCTGGTTCCATGCTCTCATTTGATTTCTTCCTTCAGTTCCCTAAGTTCTGGATCAGATGAATGTGCAGAGACCTTCCTGGTGTTGGTCTCCAGCTTCATCGACAGATCAGTTACATTATCATGATTGGAGTCAGAGGGAGACAGACACAGGTTGCAGTTTGTGTTCCTTGGTTCCAGCCTGCCTTAGTGAGCTCCAGTTTGTTCTTTATGTCTAACTTCTTACTAACAGCCACTCTGGTGAGTTTTAACAACTTCAATCTACCACCAGATGCAGAGGCAACTGTCTTCCTTAGACTACTTCATGATCTTTCACAATTTCTTAGGTCTAATGCAAAATTACTTATTCCAGACAACTAAAAATGATCAGTTGTCTGATCAAATCCTGAAAAACACAGACCACTAGAACATGAATATCACTACAGAATCATTCACACAAGACCAAGGGGCCATGCATTCCTTTCTACCCCACATCAGTCACTGACAATGGGCCAGCCCCTAGGAGTAACCTCCAAAGCATCAATGAGAAAGGTGAGTCTTTTAGACCAGGGGACAGTTCTTCTGAGAAGAGTGTAGCAATTAGTTGTTGGAGGCCAACACTAACATTTGCTGGGGGATGCCAGTAAGGGGAAGGAGATCTGGGTAGGGAACTGGTAGCACCTGCTACTACAAGCCTTCACAAATTTATCCCTCTACGTAGTTTGTAGCCTAATTTTCTGATACTTCACATGGGCCGTAAACTTTGATTATCATCAGCCTTTTTTCTATTTTCCTAACAACACTCTTTATACTTCAAACCTAGACATATTTTCTTCTCATTCTGCATGGAAAATTGCTATGCAACCCACTAGATTATTCTCCAATGCTCCTTCTTTGGGGCTATCACATCACTGTGCATTCCTCTATTATAATAATTATTATGTTATTTGCATTACAGTTACATCTCTGATTTTTAGCTTATGTGTTTTGTAACTCCAAATTTCCTATTATTCAAAGTAGATAGGATTATCTCTGAAAGGTTAAATTGCCTTGTACCTTGTGTAATTGAAATTAGAAGACTAGCAGTATTGCATTTTTAAATACTTAATACTTACAATGTATGTATGCATTAAGAAGATTCTAATTCAGCTTTGCATGAATTACTATATTCTTATGGGGAAAGTTAGGGCAAATGGAGATTAGAGCATGTGGCCTAGAGCACCTGCCATTTTTTTTTATTTGGTCTTTTTTTTGTATGTGTGTTTTTTAATTACTCCTGCAAATGAAGAGTTCAATGAACAAATTGCTTGCATTTCTGTGTGTTTATAAAAGAATGCATGTGAGATTCATTTACTCTCTGAGGTTCTAGTTTGTAGAAACTAGTTCTGACAAGCAGTTCTAGTTTCACCACTATTTCCATGTAATGTATCATTAAAAGCTACTAAAAGGAAGATAAGTAGAAGAAAAGGTAGAAATATAATTAAAAACTAAAATTTTTGTGGTAGTTATAGTTTGTAATTTCTAGAAGTTATTATAGGATTTTAAGATCAAACCAGAATTACATGTGTAGAATTTAAAGAATCAGATATTGGAAGTAGATTCTAACTCAGTGGTTCACAGACAGGTGTTTGGAGTAAGGAAGCTTTATGTGGGTAATTCAAATGAGATAGTAGTTAATGGAAAATTGATCAAAGCACATATGATGTAGAACCAAAAGATTTTTTTCCTAGAGGATATTCTTGGGAATAAAAACATGCTAACTGAAGATATGAACAAGGAAATAACTGGTAAAATGACACAGGACAAGAAAAATCAGAAAGCTAAACAAAACATGCTGAAGATTAGTCCTCAAATTTTAAATTGTTCTCATTAGATATAAACAGTGCAATTATCCAAGCAATTAATGTTAGCTGCTGTAATAAATAACTCAGAATTATCAGTGCTTAACACAATAAAGGTTTATTTCTTGCTCTCCTTATGGACTAATCAGGCATTTGGCAGATGGCTTTCCATATACTTCAGGGATCATGGTTCCTTGCACCTTGTGTTGCCACTGCATCCTCTTCATTCAGTCAGTTAATAGAGCAAGGAATGAAAGAAAATGTATGACATCTTATGACTTTCTAGATTTTTCCCAGAAGTAGTCACTAGTGCTAAAACCTTCTAGAGGACTGGAAAATGTGGAGAAAATTGATTGCTGCTGTCGTTTGAATGTTTATGTCCCCTCCAAAATTCATGTTGAAACTTAATTCCCAATGCATCAGTGTTAAGGGGAGTATTCTTCGAGAGGCAATTAGGTCATGAGGGCTCTGCCCTCATGAATGGATTCCTGCCTTGTAAAAGGGCTAGAGGGAAATAGTTTGGCCCCTTTTTGCCCTTCTGTTTTTCCACCATGTGAGAATACAGGAAGAAGGCTCTCACCAGACATCGAAATACAGTCACCTTGATCTTGAACTTCGCAGCTTCCAGACCTGTAAGAAATACACTTCTATTGTTTATGCATTACCCAGTGTATGATATTTTGTTCTAGCAGCACAAATGCACTGAGACAATTGTTGTGTATGTAGCTGGTTTCTATCATAGGGTTGTGTTTATGAGCTGAGCTGGGGCTCTGTAGTCTGCTTGAGTTCAAATTATGACTCTACTGTTTATCAGCTCGGAAACCTAGAGCAAGTTAACTTTCCCTCAAAGTGTCAGTTTACCAATAAAATGAGGCAAACAATAGTATCTACCTTGTAAGATTGTAATTTGGGTTAAGTGAGCTAATATTAATTTTAAGTAGTGTTTTTGCTGTTGATATTTATATTCTGCTGAAGAAAAACAGAAAGGAATAATTTATAATTGCCATCATGTAGAAACATTCCATGCAAATACTACTGAAATGTATACGATCCTCCATATAAATGAGAAAAAGACTTTTAAAAATCCCACTGGGTAGTAGAAAAAAAAATGCATACAGCTCAAACTTAACCCTTACCTCTAAGTGAGAATGGGAAAATAAAAGAAGAAAACAAAAATAGATTCTGATTCTATACCTGTAATCACTTTCCTATTCTACCCCAGGAGCCTTTTAGATATTCATGCAAACATTATGTACAAGTATTTCTCTAGATTATGGTTTGTCGGACTCAGCATTATATGTAGACTAGAAAAAGAAAGACAGGATACAGCAATACAAAGGAAAACAGTCAAAACCAGTCAAAGCTAGAACTGAGACATCTGCTTTGGTTATAAGCATTCCAGGGACAAAGGGGCAAATGGAAAGATAAATTTATGACTGCAACAGAAAAATGGGAATTTGAATGGAAAAAACATATATGCATTGGTATAGCCAAGTGTTCTTTTCAATCAACCTAATCCTTCACTTTCAATCTTTTTACTTTTTTCCTATTTACAACTTATACTTCAGCCCAATTGGACTGCTAGACCATCATGAATAAGAGTCATGTTTTTCTAGTTTTATTCTTTTAGGCATGTTATTTCCTCTACCAGAATAATGTCATTTAACTTCATGTCTAATAACACTTACTAGAATGTTACCAATCTGTATCAATTATGGTAAGCTAGCTGCTGTCACATATAGATGTCCAAATGTATCATATTCAAACCCAAATTGATTGCTTGCTTATGTAACAGGATTCAGTAGGCAATCCATTGACTGACTGGCCCTCTTTCACGCAGGCATTCAGGACATTGAAGGGTCTATAATTTTCTAGCTTTCAAGTCACCCTATGGGGCTCTTTATTCCAATTAGGCAGTAGGGAAAACCACATTAAGAAGATATTCTAATAGTCCAGGCCAGAAAATAACACTTCCTACCCTTGTTGCCATCCAATTAATATAACTCAGTTATATGAACAAATCTAATTGCAAGGGAAGTTGGAAATGTAGTCTAGATATGTGCCCAGGAAGAAAATGAGGACAGATTTAGGTAAGCGGCTAGCAAACTCCACCACACTTACTTTCAAAGTCCATACCAAAGGATAGCCCATTTGTAAAAAGTTTCCTGATTCCCCTTTGTTCTACTAAATGTCTTTGTTAATAGATCTGTCAAATTACCTATCTCATTTGACTTGAAAAAAGTTCGGGAGTTTGGTTTTTTTCAACTGTTTGTCCTTCCCGTTGGGATGAGTGTAAGCTCTCAAAGGGCAAAAACTGAATGTTACTCATCTTTATGTCTTTCCTCCAGTGATTAATGTAATTAATTTACTTCAGAAACACAATTAATATTTTAATTTGAATTTTCTTGGTTTAATTGAAATAAATAAATTCTCAAAAAGTTAAACTTATTAAAATCACAGCTGGTTTCCAGCTTCATCCACATTCTCAGCAAACTATCGCAAGGACAAAAAACCAAACACCCCATGTTCTCACTCATTGGTGGGAATTGAACAATGAGAACACATGGACACAGGAAGGGGAACATCACACTCCGGGGACTGTTGTGGGGTGGGGTTAGGGGGGAGGGATAGCATTAGGAGATATACCTAATGTAAATAACGAGTTAATGGGTGCAGCACACCAACATGGCACATGTATACATATGTAACAAACCTGCATGTTGTGCACATGTACCCTAGAACTTAAAGTATAATAAAAAATATATATATAAAATAAAAAAATCACAGTTGGCAGTTTTATTTAGTAGCAGACTATTTTAAGGCTTAACATACACTTTAATAAAGTCATACTTCAGAAAACACATTTCAGGCATGAA
Source organism: Homo sapiens (assembly GCF_000001405.40). NCBI lineage: Eukaryota > Metazoa > Chordata > Mammalia > Primates > Hominidae > Homo > Homo sapiens. The sequence goes on along the minus strand of NC_000003.12, from coordinate 106,492,015 downwards.
CAAGTGATGGCATATGTGTTACAGATGGAAAAGAACAAAAGATGACACTCCCACTTCCAACATACTGAAAATAATTCACTGAGTGTTCTTATAAATAATTGAACTTCTCTCTCAAAATGAGGATAAAACAGTTCACAAGAACAAAAAGACAGTTTTAGAATGAGTGGTAGATGCAATAGAATTTGTAAGGAAGGGAGTCATTACTGTGAGATTAAAGAAAAAGAAACAAATTTAAACAGTAGGATTATATCCCAATGTTATTTTCACATTTTTATTTACTTTAGGAAGGTAGATGAATTACAGAGCTCATCTTGATTCTGCTAAATATTTAAAGTAAAACTGTGGTAATAAAATTTCAAAAAAGATTCTTTAAAAAATATGAATGCCAGCATTGACCGCAGTTGCAGGTTAGTTAATGGGTCCCTTAATAATGCTGAGAAAACTAGCTCCTTCACAGTTCCGATTGAATTTCACCAAGACAGACACCATAACTGATGGCCACACAATACTCTTAAGAGATACATCAAAGAGTCTGTGAAGGAAATTTTGGTATCTATAACAAGGTTGTCAATCCATGGGAAAATATAATCAGATCAGATTATTATTTTTTGTTGTTGAAAGATGTGTGGGATGACTAATCAATTTTTATGGTATACCACAAAGGAAAGATCCATTTAATGACATTGTATACTCCTTAAAAATTAAAAGCAACCTACATAAAGCATTGGTCATGCTGATTCCATGTTTAAATCTTAATATCTGGACAAAATACAGGAGCATGAAATGAAACTACACTGTTAAAGTGCCCTGTTTCATTTCAAATCCAATCACCGTACTGGAGGACTTATTGGATTCTTTTACTGCACTAGAATTCAGTTGTATTTAATATCCCTTGAAATAATTACACTTTTGAAAGTTTCATGTTACAGTGTTTGGATGTAATAGAATTTGTTATTCATAGGATTTGATCTGTATTTCCTAAAAGTCTTAGGAGTAGAATTCTCACATATATTGTCAAGCTTATTGTTACCCGGATAAGGATATGTTGCAGTTCAGAATATATCCCTGAAATGTTAAGAACTTTGCCCACTAATTAAATTAGTTTATAAATAGTCTATCCAGATCCCACAATGGTAGCGTTATAAATGTTCTATCTTATTTGTGTGAATGCAAGTGCTAAAAAGTGTTTGCAATTTAGGGTTATTATCATTATTTCTAGCTATAATTGAGATATTTGGGTAGATTCTGTCTCCATGCATAAAATATGCATTTTACTTGCCAAAAGAATTTCAAATTTGCAAATTAATATAAGATCTAACAACATAATAATACTTTGAGATAACTGAGTTTTGTTTTGTTTTTTTTTAAGAAATAAAAATTTTCCCATCATACTGAGGCTATTTGGTCAGTGAATCAGTGGCATTCATTATTTCTGGGAAAAGGCTGACATAGACTGAGACAAGGCAAGTGAATATCTGGATATATTGTTTAAATATACAGATGCTTGACATAGGGGAGTATCTCTGTGGAAAATATCAGAATTTTGTAGACAAAGGGATTTTGGGCTCTATAATATTAAAAGGTTAGAGATGTCAGAGCAGAGAGATTATACCTGAACCATATCAGAAATAGAATGTGTGAATTAGGTAAGAGCTCATTTTCCTACCACGATAAAGGCATAACAAAAGGCATAATAAAAGGAAAGCATCTAGGACAGAATTGCAAAAGGTAGATGTGAGAGTAGGTTCACTCAGGCCTGAGACAGAGAGCCTTGTACCTCCCCAGCTTATAGCATGGAGAAATTAGACTGTCTTAGAGTAATCCTATATCCAGACTAAACCCTGACTGTGTTAACAATGGATAAGTGTGGAGCCAAAGAGAATGGGCCCAAAGGCAGATTCAGAGAGCCCTTGTATCCCATTGCTATGTGAGAGTGTCTATGAAAGTTCCCTAGGTTCAGTTAGTGAGTGCAGTATTCCCCGAGAATTACTGAGCAGAACAAAGAGATAGTGCTGCACAATAAGACACAGAGTTGGATACCAGAGGTCATGGGAATGTCATTGATATTACCAGAAGATGCTAGCATACGATGATGAAGACCAAATAGACTGAGTTAGTCTTGGTGGAAGCCAGTGCTGTTAAAAAAACAATGGTAAAAAAGAAGTTTCCATTGATGCGAGGGCAATAAATAAGCTATACTCTCCCCCACTCATGAATTTAAATCATTTCAGAGGAAAAAAAAAAAAAGAGAAGACTATTGAGAAAAATACATAATTGACTGAATAGTTATTTAAGTGTCTAACCTAAGAGCTAAAGGACTACCTAAAAAATTAGACATGATTAAATTTTAGATATTGAACCAGATGGAGGTTTCTAAAATAAGTTGAGTTCAATTCCCCAGAAAAAGGGTCACACCTAAGCATAACTGTTCTGTGTGGCTAAAATCTTATGCCTGCTATTCAACTATTATTATTTTTTAAATGATCATTTTAAATTACATTTGCCTAACAAAATGAAACACTAAATTAGAACTTTCACAAAGGCCATGTTTTATTCAAAGTACTAGTTATAAGCTTTGGAGGATCTAACTCCAACTGACGAATAATTAAAGAGGAAACGGGAGAAGGTAGAGTTGGGAACACACCTGTCTACCTAGAACCCCAAACTAGAAGTTTTCTTACCTTGGCACATCTTGCTGTAGATACATTTGCATTTTGAAATCCTCTGTTGCAAAACCCTAATCAGTAAAAATGTTTCAGATCAGCTCAACAGAAGAAAACCAACTCTGTGACAGGTAAATTGAGCACAAATTGACTTATGAAAAACACCTCTTGTCCTTATTCAGGTTTGCCCTGAATTACTGAATAAATATTTTCAATATCTTTGCTCCTGTATACTAATAGAAAAGTTATAAATCGCTTTTTAAAGATGCTGTAAGGAACATTTAATAAGCCATGCAAATAGATCTGATTATTAGTACTTTAAGAGCTAATTGGAAAACTAATCTATTTTCTCTTCTGTGATTAATTTTAGGTACAAATTAAGCTAAAGCATTTATAATGAGTAATCGGATATAAAATAGTCATATTTTATTTGTTGCCAATGTTATCACAGTTGGATATTATTTAGGGGAAGTAAAAAAAGTCACTGGATTATGATACTGGGGCACTGGGCGACCTGGGTTGCATTACTTATTTGGGCTTTCCTGTTTATGCAATGAGAGTTTAGACAATATTGTGAAAGTTTATTTTTATTTTGTCATATGTATCCTTTTATGTTCTCAAAGAAGTGATGTCTGTGCCTGAGTCTCTGAAGGATAAACTAGGAAGAATAGCAAGGATTCTGGAGAAGAGCAAATGAGATTTAAAAAAAAAAAAAAACAGATGCAAACGGGGAAGAAAGTTCATGGAGCATATCTGGTAACGCAAACAGTTCAGAATGTGTAAAATATTAAGTGATAACGCTAGGAAGAAAAAAATAGCCAGATTATACAGCCTCACGGGTGGTGTTTTCAAACATAGTCCAGACACTTGAGTTCAGGCCAGCCTGCACTTAAAAAGCGTTGCGGAGTTGGGCTAGTGAAATAACTTCCAGTGCCTTGGTTTACATATATGAAAAGGGGGGATATTTAGATTTGATGAATTTTGTAGTTTCTTCATTACTTTGTAATTCTTCCATTTAGATTTTTTGCCATATTTTAATCACTATATAGCTTTATCAATCAAAATAATTGCTCCCTATGCTATCTATCCATTTAATAGTTATTTTTATGTTTAGTAGAAATATACACAAAATATTAATCTTAAAAATAAGTGATAAAAACCGAATAAATGCTATTTCAAAAATTATATTTTTATTTTGTTTATTAAAATAACCAAAGAGGTCATTGTTTACATGATATAATTAAATATATATATATATCATTGTTTATATGATATACCATTAGTAGTGGAACATTTTTCTATAATTTTGAAAACTTAGGTTTAAAATTTTGCAATGCAGTAATATCTCCTTTACCTTCAAAGGACAAATTACATGCATTTTTTCATGGATTCCTACCCATAGCCACTTGCTGCAATTAAGGTCAGAAAAATGGAAATCCATATCTTTGGGAAAAAAAAGTATCCAAGTTCAACAGCCGTTCTATGGTTTTTCCTATTAGGTACCTTATGAAAGTTCATGAGCTGCACAATTATTTATTTATTTATTTATTTATTTATTTATTTATTTATTTAGAGACAGAGTCTCACTGTGTCGCCCAGTCTGGAGTGCAGTGGTGCGATCTCACCTCACTGCAAGTTCTGCCTCCCGGGTTCATGCCATTCTCCCGCCTCAGCGTCCCGAGTAGCTGGGACTACAGGCACCCGCCACCACGTCCGGCTAATTTTTGTATTTTTAGTAGAGGCAAGGTTTTGAGAGACAGGACTAGCTGAATTTCCTAGGCGGACTAAGAATCCCTAAGCCTAGCTGGGAAGGTGACCGCATCCACCTTTAAACACTGGGCTTGCAACTTAGCTCACACCCAACCAATCAGAGAGCTCACCAAAATGCTAATTAGGCAAAAACAGGAGGTAAAGAAATAGCCAATCATCTATTGCCTGAGAGGACAGGGGGAGGGACAAGGATCAGGATATAAACCCAGGCATTCCAGCCGGCAATGGCAACCCCCTTTGGGTCCCCTACCTTTGTATGGGAGCTCTGTTTTCACTCTATTTCATTCTACTAAATCTTGCAACTGCACTCTTCTGATCCGTGTTTGTTACGGCTGGAGCTGAGCTTTCGCTCGATATCCACCACTGCTGTTTTGCCACTGTCGCAGACCCGCCGCTGACTTCCATTCTTCCGGATCCAGCAGGGTGTCCGCTGTGCTCCTGATCCAGCAAGGCCCCCATTGCCGCTCCTGACCTGGCTAAAGGCTTGCCATTGTTCCTGCACAGCTAAGTGCCTGGGTTCATCCTAATCGAGCTGAACACTAGTCACTGGGTTCCACGGTTCTCTTACATGACCCACGACTTCTAATAGAGCTATAACACTCACTGCGTGGCCCAAGATTCCATTCCTTGGAATCCGTGAGGCCAAGAACCCCAGGTCAGAGAACAGGAAGCTTGCCACCATCTTGGAGGTGGCCCACCGCCATCTTGGAGGTGGCCCACCACCATCTTTGGAGCTTTGGGAGCAAGGACCCCAGGTAACAGTTTCACCGTATTAGCCGGGATGGTCTCGATCTCCTGACCTCGTGATCTGCCCGCCTCGGCCTCCCAAAGTGCTGGGATTACAGGCGTGAGCCACCGTGCCTGGCTGAGCTACACAATATTTTTTATGATCACACTAGATTGTATTAAAAACTTTTGTAAAGGTTTTACTGCTTAAAAATCTTCCTTTTATAAAATTAACCACTTTCATGGTTAACAGTTACTCACTTCCATGTTTGCCTCAGAATTTTGCATATATCATTTGTAATGAATAAACCAAGTAATGAGTGTCAGTTTGTGTATGAAGAGTAAGTTTAAAATGTATTTTTTAAATAAAAGAGTGAGTAGAAAAATGAGCTCTACAATTTTCTTCCTACATCCCAATGCATTATTTGTAGACACCCTCGTGTGTGTACAGTCAATCCACTTTGGAGCTCATTTTGTTCATCTAATTTAGAAAAAATAACCCAAAAAAACTACATAAACAGGGTCGTAAGTATTAATCACATTAGTATTATAACAAGTCCCCAAATTATTAAATGACTTACCTAACATTAGGAGCATAATGTTTATTTGAAAAGATTAAATTCTGAAAAAACTTTATAACAACCCCACCCCTCCCCCGTTTTTCTTTTCTTTTTTTTTGCTTTGGACAGTATTGAAATTCTTATTGTAAAACACAATTTGAACTTTTATCTTTTCAGCTATAGTTAATTAGCATAAGTTGCTTAGGGGATATTTTGGGAGAGGAAAAGAAACAGGAAAGGCCGCCTGCAGAGCACAATAATCAGAAGTACTCACATGGAGATTTTTAGCATTAATATTTTTACAAAGGAAAGACACATACTGTAGTGATTATTGATTGGCCCTGGGGGCAGGGAAGATGGGGGTGAGAAAGAGAACGAGGGTCTTGAGAGAATTCAAGTGTTTGAACAGCTGATTAAGGAGTAAAATTAAATAATCAAGTAAGAGAAATAAATTTGTGCAGATGGCTGTGAAAGGGAAACTATTGTCTTTGCTGCCATGGGTCATAAATTCACTCTTTTTCTCACAAAAGGGATAATTGATGCTTCAAACATTATGGATCAAAAGCACAGTAATGAATCCACAGCTAGCATTGGAATAATATTGTCCTTTTTAAAATGTCATTGAGATCATTCCTCATAGAATGGCTTTCAGGACTTGAAGAAAATCTATCCCAGTGGTAAAAAAAAAAAAGGATTTTTGCCAAAGGTCCCAGGGCAATCACTTCTTCCCTGTGGATTGATTTATTCTTTCCTTTTATATAATTTTTATTTTCCTTGAAACTTACAGTTTTTCAGAATATGAAAGAGTTAGAAAGAAAAGAGTATACTTTATGCTTTTAATGAGAAAAAGGAAGGCAGCACCAGAAACACTGGGACAGGAGCCATAAGAGGATGATGTGGTTTCAGTTTCCAGTCCTTCCTAATGTTTCTCCCAAAGCATCACTATTCCCTTCCTTGTACTCTCTTTACTCTCTTCCTTCTTCCTTTCCTTGCTCAGTGGGGTACCTTTTTTTTTTCTCTCTCTCATTAAAATCCTCATACTTCTTTCCAGGGGAATTTTATACTTGATGATGATGATGATGTGAAATTTAGTGATATGATCTCCCTGGGCACCAGGTTTTTCTTCTGTGAAATGAGAGGTAATAATCATCTTCTTTACTATATATGCTTTGGGAGGTAAAACCAGATAGGTGATCTCTTTCTATTCAAAGTAACATGATACTGCACACACAGAAGCAGTTCAGTAGACACATTTTCTGAGTGACAGAATGACAGCTGTACTTCTAAATGGCTATTATTTCTTGAGCTAATATATATGAAATAATTTTGTCAAACCGATATATAAATATATTTTTATAAATTAAGTTATGAAGGAATTTCATTGTTTCCATGTTTTATAAATCACATCAACATAAAGAAGATTCAAGACAAAATTGTGGAATAATCACTGGATCAGGAATAGCTCTTATTATGAACCAGGCACTGTACATACTATGTATTTTCACTAATTTATCCCTCACCACAATGCTTCTTGGCTCATTTTGTTCACATTGGACAACAAAATCTTAATTCCAGTTAGTTATTAGATATGTACAGTCCTTTTCAAACAACACACACACACACACACACACACACACACGTAATATCAAGACTGACTTTTTTAGTTATTTTTCTCAGTGCAAGACTATTCGGTGAAGTTGGCAAAGGAGTTTGTTGATATTAATGTTTAAATCCACAGTTGCAATAAGGATTATAATCAGCTCACTGTACATATGCAAAACTATGAGTTTCCACATCTTTTCCCAGAGCTTTTCCTCCAAAAAACTGATGGTGACTTGGTAGAACTAAGGGATATAGCCCAGTTTAGATTTATTTCTGTATGTTTTATATTGTTCTTGTCCTGTGTTAAGATGTCTAGGTCTAATTCCTTCTTGCTTCTGGATCTTCTATTTTTCTTTTTAAGAGTTACTTCTCTCTTCTTGTGTTTGGTTGCTTAATATGATGGCTTACAGCTCCATCCAGGTTGCTGCAAAGGGCATGATCTTATTCTTTTTTATGGCTGCTTGGTATTTCATGGTGTATATGTACCACATTTTCTTTATTCAGTCCACTGTTGGTAGCCACTTAGGTTGATTTCATGTCTACTGTTGTGAATAGTGCTGTTGGGAACATAGGCATGTATGTGTCTTTATGACAGAACGCATTATTTTCCTTTGGGTATATACGCCAGTGAGATTTCTGGGTTGAATGGTAGTCCTATTTTAAGTTCTTTGAAAAATCTCTAAACTGCTTTCTACAGTGGCTGAGCTAGTTTGCATTCCCACCAACAGTGTATAAGCGTTCCCTTTTATCTGCAGCCTTGTCAACATCTATTGTTGTTTTACTTTTTAATAATAGCCATTCTAATTGGTGTGAGGTGGTATCCCATAATAGTTTTGACTTGCATTTCTCTGATGAGTAGTGATGTTGAGCATTTTTTCATATGTTTGTTGGCCACTTCTATGTCTTCTTTTGAAAAGTTTCTGTTTATGTTCTTTGCCTGTTTTCTAACTGGACTGTTTGTTTTTTGCTTGTTGATTTGTTTAAATTCCTTATAGATTCTGGATATTAGACCTTTGTCTGATGAAATCTTGCATGTTCTCACTTATAAGTGGGAACTAAACTTTGAATACACGTGATTGTAAAGATGAAAACAATAGAGGCCAGGGATCACTAAATGGGGAAGGAAAGGAAGGGGACATGGGCTGAATGATCACCTGTTGGGTCCTATGCTTCTGGCCTGGGTGATGGGATCTTTGGAATCCCAAGCCTCAGTGTCACACAGTTTACCCACGTAACAAGCCAGCTAATAAACTTCTAATAAAATTTGAAATTTTTTTAAAGTATTAATTCTCAATTTTTTTTTTATAAATCTGGGGAAGTATCATAAAATTCACTCTGACCTGAGGCTTTTAAGTTCAAGGTTTCTTGTGAAATGGGAGAGGGAACAACAAAAATGCATTCAAGCATTTTTGTCAGTGAGTCTCTCTTCTTATCTGGATCCTGAACTCAAACTGACTTCCCCATGGAACAGACATCCAAGACAGCACATTCTGTGATGTACCATTAAATGGCACTCTGTCCTCAAGTCTTTGGGAACAGATCATCAATAGAATCATGACATTATGATCACTGAAAATCTGCTTCTGATGGCTGCCAATACTATATAATCCTATGCCCTGTGATTAAATTATTCTGAACTGGATCTTTCTAGAAATATGCTTCCCTTTTATCTATCTTTCCTACCACACTTGTTGACTTGCCATGTTTCCCCGTTATTCTGGTCTCAAGATGGTCTCTTAGATTGCTATTAGATTGTATGCATTTGGGGCATTATTAGTTTAGCATTTAATTATATTTCGTACCATATGTTTTGTCTATGATATCCTAAAATATATACTCGAGCAGTTTCATAAAGATAATTCCAGCCTAAAGACCGCTAGGTACCAAAGCTCTAAGAGTAGCAGTCACTTAGAAAACCCTTGGCCATACGTGTCTTTGTATCTCTGGCAAAATAAGTTTCCCTTGAAATATTATTATGAAGAAGTCATCTTCCAGGCTATAGGCCAGCTGTAATATTTCTGTTCTCTGGAATGCCCTAGTGTAATGTCATACAGGCCCAGCACATAACAGATAGGACTCTCAAGGGAAATGCCCTGAATAACTTTCAGTGCTACAGATTTCCATTATGGTCCACGTCAAACTGGCATTGTGTGCAAGAAAAGCAGAGACTTCATAGTTTCGGGGAGCAGCCTTGACCCAGAATACCTAATATCTGACAATGCCTTTACTGAAACAGTAACGTGAATTCAAGATATACTTTTTACGTTGAGTATGCCACAGTGTCTCTCTTTTTCCTTGCATATATAATGTCTACCAGTTATAAGAATGTCAATGACAAATGGCAATGAAAAAAGAGTGACTAAGCAATTGAGTGTATTAAATATTCATCTCCCAGAGCTCCCAAGCTAATGATTTAGTCTCAGGTCATTGTTGTTAGGTTGAGTCTCCCTCACAGTATATTTTTATCACCCAGATATGTTACTTCCTATTTGTCAAAATGAGTATAAGAAACTATCAATATGTTTTCAAGAATAATATCCTCATATTTTTTCTTTTAAAAAAATAAGTTCTAACTCTCCTCCCAAACTAGTATATTATTCACCCATCAATATATCCATCCTTCAACCCTTCAGTCACTTACTCATCCACTCATTTATTTAACAGAAGGTTTTTAGTGCCAAACTAATTGCCAAAAATTCTTCTGAGTACTGAGGATAGGGAGGTAAACAAGCCAGAGTCTCATTTCTGAGGGAAAGATCACACTCCCATGGCTTACTTAGATTTCTTAAAATCTAACAATTATAATAGGCAGGGGTATGACAGGGGTTCTTTCCCAAGAGTATTTCAGCACAGCATAAGAGCCCCCAATTGAATTAAAGTAGTCAGGGAGGTTTCCTAAGGAGATAACACTTGAATTACATTTTGAAGGATAAAATGAATAATTTAAGTGTACAAAGGGGAGTAACAGTGCTCTATGCATATGCAACATCCTACAATCATAAAATGAACATAATATATTCTATGGCTACATGTCAATGATGAGGTGGTGGTGAGAGGATGTATAGGCTACAGAAAACCAATCCTATGACATTTTAAGGAACTTCTGTTTTCAGTGATGGCAGCAAGATGGTTGACTAGAAGCTCCTAGTACTCTTTCCCCAACACAAGATGCAAAATAATAAATAAGCAACTATATTTCAACCAAAATATCCAAAGAAGAGCACCAGAGGAGAGCAAAGAAGCAACAGAAATCCTGTAGAACACAGAAGCCTAGTATGGCCACACAGAAAAGGGAAGGAAACGCTTTGATTATGCCACCGCATCCCCCTAGTTGGGATCACACTGGGACCAGAAGGGACTTTTCCTACAGACAAAAAGGTATGAAAGAGGACCCTAGTAGCCCCCATCACCACCACGGTCACCTGTAGTCTTTGCTACTGGAGATTGCTATAGTCCTTACAGGTACTGGGCTAGGTCCAGGTTAGGTAGCTCCCTGAAGTCCACACACTGAACTGCCCCCAGGGAAGGAGATAGTGTTGTGTCCTACTATGATCCCCGAGGCCTGTGCTGCTATTACTCTGCGCCATCTTGGAACTAGAACCACTGCTAGAGTGCATCCTGCTCTGAGGGTGGTAGCCATTGCATCCCATCATTCTTGAGGTTCAGTTACCACTGTACCATGACCACCTGGTAGCATGCCATCCTCAAGCAAATATTTTGCTCCCTATTTTCTACATCCAAGTTAGCACAGAGCTGCTCCATCTCCCACCCAATTCCAGTCACTGTCATGTTCTCACCTTAGGGCTGAGCTAAGTACCAGACGTGGAGTCTTGAAATACTGAAGCAGCAGTGCCCTGGCCCCAGAAAAGACCCAGCACCCTACCCCCTGAGGACGTCAGGTCTCCCTCAAACACTGGAGCCTTAATACCCGTTGGTGCCACAGTTGAGACAACACCATGACTCCTGGGGACCTCAGACCTCTGGCACATGTGAGCAGTTGTGCCACCCCATGCCACAGATGATGCAGCACCTTACCCCTCAGGGGCTACCAGCCTCTAACACACTAGAGAAATTGCATCTTTCAGCACCACATCTGACATGCCACCTCATCCCCAGGGATTCAGAGCCTTCACTGACTGGCGTAACTGTTCTTGCTGGGGCCAAACAGATAAAATACTTGTATCTCAGAGAATCAGAGCCCTAGCTAAGCTGTGCCATCCTGACTTTAAGGTCAGACTGCCACAGTACCCTGCTTACCCAGATCTGGACTAGCTCCCTGCAGTTCAAATTGCTGAGAAAATGTGTCTCTTCAAGGAGTGGTTATCACTGTGCTGCTCCTTGCCCCTCAGGGACCAAGTCAGTGTGACATCTTGCCATTTCTGTTTTTTTGCTGCCACTGCATCTATCCTCATAAGCCTGGATTACTGACATTCCCTAGGGTCCAGAGTCACCACTGCTGGTACCTCATCCTCTCATCCTTCAGAGCCCAAGCTGCCCCTGTGCCCTATTAGTTCTGGGTCCTGAATTGCAACTGTGTTGTGCTCCCCAGGGCTCAAGCTTTCTTGTCTGGAGCCATGCTGTTGGTGTACCTTGCCCTTCAGGGTCATAACCACAGCTAAACCCCAGATCCCTGGGTCCCAGCTACTGGAATCTGCGTCAGAGCAACAGACCCTAACTTAGTGGGAGAAAAGCATCCACTTATGCCTTGAATAATAAACTTGTACCTCAAGTTTCAAGTGCTACAGTAGTTTTACAAAGTTCCTGAGCCCAGGAACCCATCTCCAAATTCTTCCTGAGCCCTAGATGCCAGTGCCACTGTGGTTGCCTGTGAGCCATGTCAGACCCAATAGCAAAAGAGATCCCCCAAACTAAGACTCCCCACTGTGAAGAAATAAAAAAACAGGAAGATCCCTAGAGACCTTGCCCTAATCACCTAAGCAGCCAACACCACTGCCACAAACTCCCACAATATAAATTACTGAGGACACCAGCAGTCATTGCTAACATTGAACACAACTGAAAAAGAAGCACAAAGATTATACCACTGAGCTCACACAGAACAAGAACCATCACATCCAGCCCAAATGGCACCCTCAGATTCATATGCAGGTAAAAATCTTTCTTTACAGTAGCTACTTTGTAAAGTTTGGTACAGGCAGCTTCACCAACAGATGCACAGGCATCAACGCAAGGACACAAGAAACATCAAAAAGCAAGGAAACATCAAACAACAAAGAAATACAATAACTCTCCCGTAGCTGACCCCAAAGAAACAGAAATTTACAAATCACCTGGAAAGAAATTCAAAATAATGATTTTAAGGAAATTTGGAGAGACATAAGAGAATACAAACAGGATTTAATAAAATCTGAAAATCAATTTATGATCTGATTGAGAAAATCAACAAAAAGATATTTTTAAAAAGCAAAACATAAATCTTAGAGCTTAAGAATTATATCAATGAAATAAAAAATATAATTGAGAGCTTCAATAGCAGACTAGCTCAAGCAAAATAAAGAATCTTTAAACTGAATTAAGTCTTTTGAAGTGACTCACTAAACAGAAGAAAAAGAAAAAATATAATGAAAAAGAATGAAGACAGCCTACAAGATTTATGGAACACCTTTAAGTGAACAGATATTTGCATTATTGAAATTTTAGGAGAAGAGACAGAGAAAGGAACAGAAAGCTTACTTTATAAAATAATTGCTAAAAACTTCCCAAGTTTTTAGAGAGATATGGACATCTAGACCCATGGAGCTCAAAAGTTCCCATAAAGGTTCAATCTGAAAAAATTTTCCCTAAGACACATTATAATGAAGCTTTCAACAGTCAAATACAAAGATAATTTTAAAAGCAGAAAGAAAAAAGCATCAAGTCACATATAAGGAAATCTATATTAAAGTAAAAGTGAATTTCTCAGCAGAAATCTTGCAGGTCAGGAGAGAATAACATGATATATTCAAAGTGCTGAAGGAAAGTACCTGTCAGTCAAAAATGCTATACCCAGCAAAAAGCTGTCTTTCAAAAATGAAGGAGAAATAAAATCTCCAGACAAGCAAAAACTGAGGGAATTCATTACCACCACACACGTCTTATGAGAAATGATTAAGGGAGTTTTTTGAGCAGAAATAAAAGGATGTTAGTTACTACCACAAATGCATATAAAAATATAAAACTCACTGATAGAGTAAATACACAGTCAAATCCAGAATACTTCAATATCTGTTTTTTTGTTTTGTTTTTTTTTTTTTTTGAGATGGGGTCTCGCTCTGTCACCCAGGCTGGAGTGCAGTGGCACAATCTTGGCTCACTGCAAGCTCCACCTCCCAGGTTCATGCCATTCTCCTGCCTCAGCCTCCCAAGTAGCTGGGACTACAGGCCCCACCACCACACCTGGCTAATTTTTTGGTATTTTTAGTAGAGACGGGGTTTCACTGTGTTAGCCAGGATGGTCTCAATCTCCTGACCTCGTGATCCACCTGCCTCGGCCTCCCAAAGTGCTGGGATTACAGGTGTGAGCCACCACGCCCGGCCCAGAATACTCCAATATCTTAATGTTGGTTTCCAAATCATATACATATCTGGTATGAAGGCTAAAAGTCAAAACTTACAAAAATAATTAAAGCTACAATAAATTATTAAGGAATACACAATATAAAAGATGCAAATTGTGACATCAAATATATATCACGTGGGGAGAGTAAAAGTCTAGATTTTTGTATTTAATGGAAGTTAAGGTGTTATTAGCTTAAAATAGTATATAACTGTAAGAGGTTTTATGTAAACCTTCTGGTAATCACAAAACAAAAATGTACAGCAGACATAAAAACAATAAAGTAAAAGGTATCGAAGCTTAGCACTATGGAAATAATCAAATCACAAAGATAGACAACAAGAGAGGAAGAAAGGCACAATACTGGTATAACAAAACCAGAAACCTGTCAATAAGGATCTTGAAGGTAAATGGGTTAAATTTTTCAATGAAAAGACAGTGGCTGAATGCATTAAATTATAGGATCCAACTATAGGCTCCCTATAAGAGTCCACTTAAGCTTTAAGGACAGATATGGCTGCAAGTGAAAGAATGAAAGAAGATATTCCATGCAAATAATTACCAAAAAAGATCAGGAGTGGCTACACTTATAACTGATAAAACAGATTTCAAGTCAACAGATGTTGCAGAAGACAAAGAAGATCATTATTTAATAATAAAGGGATAACTCACCAAGAGAACACAACCATTGTAAATATATACGCACCCAATCTTCGAGCACCTAAATGCATAAAGCAAATACTAAAGGATATAAAGGAAGGAATAGATAGCAATATAATAATAGTAGGGAACTTCACTATTTCACTTTTATCAATGAATAGGTCAGTCAGAAAAAAATTAATAAGAAAATATTGAACTTGAATTACACTTTTGATCAAACGGACCTAACAGACATATATATAATGTTTTATTTAAGAGCAGCAGAATACACTTTTTTTTTTGGCACACGTGGAACATTCTCCAGGATAGACCATATGTTAGGCCATAAAACATGTCTTAAAAATGTTAAGAATATTGAAATCGTATTTAGTATCATTTCATACCAAAACGATATGAAACTGAAAATCAATAAAACAAAGAATCTTGGAAAACTCACAAACATGTGGAAATTGAACAACATGCTCCTGAACAACAAACGATCCAAGGGAGAAATCAGAAAGAAAATAAAGAAATATTATGAGACAAATGTAAATGAAAACACAACATACCAAAACCTATGGCTTAAAGCAAAAGCAATTCTAAGAAGGAATTTTATTGACCTATGTGCCAACATGAAAAAAGAATAAAGATCTCTAGTAAATAGTCTAACATTATGCCTGAAGGAACTAAAAAAACCACAAACTAAACCCAAATTTGGCAGCAGAAAAAAAATTAGAACAAAAATAAAGAACAAAACAAACCACAGAAGGAATTAATAAAGTGAAGACTTAGCTTTTTGAAAATAATAAAAAAAATTGACAAGCCCTTAGTCTAATCAAGAGAAAAAGAGAAGACTCAAATAAATAAAATCAAAAATAAAAGTGAGGAAATTGCAATGGATACTTCAGAAATAAAAAGGATCATATGGGATAATTATGAATAATTATATGCCACCAAATTGGATAACCTATAGAGATAAATTCCTAGAAAAATATAACCTACCAACATTGAGTCAGGAAGACATATAAAGACTAGATAGACCAATAACAAATAGATTGAAGAAGTAGTGAGAAAGTCTCCCAATAAAGAAAAGCCTAGGACCAGATGCCTTCACAGCTGAATTCTACCAAACATTAAAAAAATAATTAATACCAAAACTTCTTAAACTCTTTTGAAAAGAGAGCCAGAGGAAACACTTTCAAACACATTTTAGTAGGCCATCATCATCTTGACACCTATGCCAGAGACATCACAGGAAAAAACTAGAGACCAATTTCACAAATAAACATTGATTCAAAAATCTTCAGTAAATTGTTAACAAATAAACCCATCAACATGTCAAAAACATTATAGATGATGACCAAGTGAAATTATTTCTGGCATGCAAGGCTAGTGTAACATATACAAGTCAATCAATGTGATACATCACATTAACAGAATGAAAGAAAAAACACATGATCTTCGCAATTGATGTGGAAAAAGCATTTGACAAACTCCAACATTTTTTCTTGATAAAAGCTCTCAGCAGTTTAAATATAGAAAGAATGTTTCTCAATAAAATTAAAGTAATTTATTAACACAGCCCACATTATTATTAAGGGAGGAACAGTGAAACTTTTTCCACTATGATCCAGTACAAGGCAAGGATGTCACTCCTGCCACTTTTATTCAGAATAGTACTAGAAGTACTAGTAAGAATGATCAGACAAGAAAAAGAAATAAAGGCATCCAAATTTGAAAGGAAGACATAAAATTATCTTGCTTTGAATAATGGCATGATCCTATATGTAAAATTCCCTGAATACTACACAAAAAACTGTTAGAACAAATAAATGAATTCAGTAAAGTTGCAATACTCAAATCAACATATAAAATTAGTAGTATTTTTATACACAACAGCCTAACTGAAAAAGAAATCAAGAAAACAATTCCATTTATGATAACATAAAAAATACCTAGGAATGAATATAACCCAGAAAGTGAAAGGTTTATTAAAAAATAAACTATAAAACATTTATGAACAAAATTGAAGAAGACACAAATAAATGGAAAGATATTCCATGCTCATGAATATGCAGAATTTAATATTATTGAAAATCCATACTACCCAAGTGTATTTACAAATTTAATACACACAATCCCTACCCATATCCCAATAGCATGTTTCACAGAAATAGAAAAATCAATCCTAAAATTTATACAGAATGATAAAAGACCCTGGATAGCCAAAACCATTCTGAGAAAGAAAAATGAAGTTGATAGCACCACATATTCTGATTTAAAAATCTATTACAAAGTTATAGTAATCAAAAAAGTACGGTGCTAGCATAAAAACAGACATATAGAGCACTGGAACGGAATAGAGAGCCAAAAAATAAATCCACACATTGATGGTCAACTGCTTTTTGTAAAAGATGCCAAAAGCACACAATGGGGAAAGGATAGTCTCTTCAATAAATTGTATTGGGAAAACTAGATTTCAACATACAAAAGGATAAAATGGACTTTTACCTTACACCATACACAACAATAAACTCAAAATGGATAAAAGATATAAGGCCAGAAACTATAAAACTCCTGAAAGACAACATAGGGGAAAAACTCCTTGATATTGGCTTTGGCAATGGGTTTTTTGGATATCACTGCCAAAGCTCAGGCTAGAAAAGCAAAAGTAAATACATAAAAAAAAATTACATCAAACATAAAATCTTCTGCAAAAGCAAAGGAAATAATCTACAAATAAAATGGCAGCCTGCAGATTAAGAAAAAATATTTGCAAACTACAAAGCTGATAAGGGATTAATATTCAAAATTTATAAAGAGCTCCTACAACTCAAGAGTGGAAAACCAAATAACTCTACTAAAAAATGGGCAAAAAACCTAAATAGACATTTCTCCATAGCAGAAATATATAATAAAATGGCAAACAGGTATATGAAAAGGTACTCAACATTACTAATCCTCAGAAAAATGTAAATCAAATCCACTATGTGATACATTAAAATAATTATAAAAAAGTCAAAAGATAACAGATGTTGATGAGAGTGTGGAGAAAAGGGAGCTATTTTATGCTGTTGGTAAGAATGTAGACTGGTACAGTCATCATGAAAACAATGTGGAGGTTTCTAAATAAATTAAAAATAAAACTACCATATGACCCAGCAATCTTTCTTCTGTACATATACCCAGTGGAAATAAAATCACCACATCATAAAGATACCTGCACTTCCACGGTCACTGCAGCATTATTCACAATTGTCAAGATGTGGAAAAAATCTAAGTGTCAATGAATGAATAGATAAAGGAAAATGGTACATATATATAATGGAACATTACTCATCCCTAAAAAGAATGAGATAGTGCCCTTTGCCACAACATGAATGAGCCTGGAAAATATTATGCAAAGTGAAACAAGCCAGGCACAGAAGGAAAACTATTGCATGATTTTACTTATATATAAAATCTAAAACAACAAAAAGAAATTCAAATGTACAAAGAAAAAGACCAAACCAGTGATTACCAGGCGTGGGGCAGTGGGGAAAAGACATGGGGAAGTATAGGTCTGAGGATACAAAGTAGCAGATATGAAGGACCAATAAGTCTAGAGGTATAATGTACATTATGATTATGTGTAATAAGTTGTACTTCATATGAGATTCCGGCTAAATTAGTAGATTTTAGCTACTCTTGCCACACAAATTTTAAACGTGAGTAATTGGCCGGGCACAGTGGCTCATACCTGTAATCCCAGCACTGTGGGAGGCCAAGGCGAGTGGATCACTTGAGGTTAAGAGTTGGAGACCAGCCTGGCTAAGACCAGAAATCCCATCTCTACAAAAATACAAAAATTAGCCAGATGTGATGGCGGGTGCCTGTGATTCCAGCTACTTGGGAGTCTGAGGCAGGAGAATCTCTTGAACCTAGAAGGCAGTGGTTACAGTGAGCAGTGATTGTGCCACTGCACTCCAGCCTGGGCGACAGAGCAAGATTTTGTCTCAAAAAAAAAAAATTAATTAATTAATTAGTTAATTAAAAATGAGTAATTGTGAAACAATGGATAGGTGAATTTGCTTCAATGCAGTAACCTCTTTACAATATTTATGTATCCCATAAAATGATATATCTTAAACAAAACTTTTTAAAGAAACCTCTGTTTTATTCAGAAGGCAGTTTATCCATTGGAGCATTTTAAGCAGTAGGGTCGTAATCATAATCAAACTTATGGTTTTAATAAGTTCTGACCTGGGAAATTCATTAGAATAGTTGAGACAACAGACAGGAAAGTAAGTCAAGAAGACTTTGCTTTGATAACCTCTTTACCTAATTAGGTTCTCTCTTCATACTAATCTATTTGCTGTCTCCTAATCATAGCCTTGCCTCTTAACAGCCTGCCTGGAATTTTGAATAAATCCAATTAAAATATTCATTAAAGGCATAATATGTACATACCACTATGAAAAACTACAGAAGTGAAAGATAAATATGGACATTTTCTCCTCTCAAGAAGTTTTTAGTTAAATGGAAGTATTCAGGACTCAAATATGTTTAATATAGGCAAGATGGAAAAATAATGTTTACACGAATTTTGAAAAGATTGAGATAATATCTATTTGAGACAGGTGAAATTTATGAAAGGCTTCTGAAAGAAAACTATTAGAAGAAAATAAATAGAATTTCAATTGGTGGAACAAAAAGAGAGAGAAGAAATTTCTAATAAAGAGATATTATGCCAATTTCCTTGCATGTATCATGCAACATTTTTTTCTTCTTCAGGAAACATAAGGAAATAATGAATTGTGACACAGTTATTAAGAGCTTAACCAAGGTGGCTATGTCCTTCCCTGTAAGTTATCTGTACATTGTATAGTGAAAAAATTAATAAAATATGCTAAACTTCTCCCTTAACTTATTCAAGCAAACATTATTTTGTTCCTTCTCTGTCCCAGGTACTGTTCAAGTTCTTAGAGATATAATGGTGAAAAAGACAAGCAAAACGCATGTCCTGAATATCTTACATTCTAGCTTGGGAGGACATAATAAACATGTGTATATTTAAATATATAGTTATTTCTAGTAGTGTTAACCTCTGTAAAGGAAATAAAGCTGAGTAATAGGATCTGCTTGGGCAGATTGTTTAAATAAATAATCATGGGAGGACTCTGAAGAGTTTAATATAAAAATCTTATTTTTTTTTTTTTTTGAGATGGGGTTTCATTCTTGTCACCCAGGCTGGAGTGCAATGGCATGATCTCGGCTCACTGCAACCTCCACCTCCTGGTTTCAAGCAGTTCTACTGCCTCAGCCTCCCAAGTAGCTGGGATTACAGGCATGTGCCACCACACCCAGCTAATTTTTGTATTTTTAGTAGAGATGGGATTTTGCCATGTTTGCCAGGCTGGGCTGGAACTCCTGATCTCAGGTGATCTGCCCACTTCAGCCTCCCAAAGTGCTGAGATTACAGGCATGAGCCACCACACCTGGACTTTAAAATGTTTAATAAACAGAAAAGTGCATAAAAATTATGAATCAAGGCATCACTGCATCATTTTTTTTGGCATGTTCACTATGTAGATCAAGATATGGACCTGTACAGCACTTCAGAAAAATTTTTTGGCTCCTTTCCTCTCAATACTCTATTACTGAACTGCATATTCAATATTTGAAATAATACCTGAGTAACAATAAGAAATAAGAAATCAACCATAAAAATCAGTAAGCAGAGTGTTCTAGGCCAAGGCAACAGGAAATGCCAAGACTCTGGGGCAAGAAAAGGCTTCCTTATTTAAGGCACAACATTAATGTCAAAGTAGCTGTAATACATTGAAACAGAAAAATAATAGAAGATGAGGTCAGTTATGCAGCAGACAAACCATATAAGGCTCTATTAGTTACACAAAATAATCTAGATTTTTCTACTTCCAATGTGGAGCCCATTGAAAGGATACAGTCAGTGTGAGATATCATCAATTTTTTAAACCCTTATTCCAAGATAGTTCATTCAGAGAGTATGTGGAGGCTGGGCATGGTGGCTCATGCCTATTAATCTCAACATTTTGAGAGGCCAAAGCAGGTAGATTGCTTAGCCCAGGAGTTAAAGACCAACCTGGGCAACATAGCAAAGCCCCATCTCTACAAAAAAATACAAAAATTAAAAATTTTTGTATTTTAAACTTTTGTATTTTAAAAAAATACAAAAATAGACTTCAGGTGGTGCACACCTGAAGTCTTAGCTACTTGGGAGGCTGAAGTAGGAGGATTGCTGGAGCCCCAAAGAGGTTGCAGTGAGCTGTGATCACACCACAGCACTCTAGCCAGGGTGACAGAGTGAGACCCTGTCTCAAAGAAACAACAAAAAAAGAAAGTATGTGAAAACTGAATTATGATGTTAGGTATAGAAGCAGTGACACTAATAATGAGCTTGTACACAATAAAAATAAGTGATGGAGATGTGAATTATGGTAGTGGCAGTAGAGGTGGTAAGAATGTGTAGAGTTTATTAGATTCAATCAAAATAGAAGGAAATAAAGCAAAGTAATGGCAAAGATTAATTGAATGGGGTATCTTCAAAGCAGAAATAAATTGAGGGTGATCCATAGGCATATGAAACTAAACAGGTAATGGAAATACTCACTGAGATGGAGAATACTTTGGGAGGAATAATTTTGGTAAGAATTAAGAATGTATACAAAGACATGGTTCAGTTTTGGCCATTTGTGTTTGAGTTTTGGCCATTTGTGTTTGAGATGTCTTTTTACATGCCCAGTGAGCAAAATATATAAATCTGTGGTTAAAAGGAAAGGTTTAGATAGATTTCAATTAGATTTTAGAATTTTTGGATAGATTTGAATTAGATTTCTTGGAATTCAAACCATGAGACAGAATAAAATTACTCAAGGAGGGAGTACAGTTAGAGAAACAAAGAGCACTGAAATCCAAAGCTTGAGGCATGGGAGCATAAGAGTACACACTAGCAAGGGGGATTGAGAAGGAGTAGGCAGAGAGAGAAGAGAAAAATAAGAGAATGAGGTATAATAAAAACCAAGTGAAACAATCTCTTTCAGACTCAGTGTCACAGAGACTTTAATCAGGCAAAAGTTTGAGAATTGTCTATAGTATTTGGCAAGAAAAAGATATTTGGTATGCAAAGAGTTTCTATTTTAGTCTAAAATTTATCTATTGATTTAATTATTATTCAAAAAGAATTCATGCAGAATCCATGGACTCCTTTTCAAGGAGATATTTACAAACTTTAAGATCTCCTGGTGCTTGAACCATACTCAGTTGTCATCAAGGCCACATCCTCACTGAGAAAAACAAACAAAAATAATGCTAAGAAGTGTATATATGAGTATATCCTGAATAGTATATCTCTGATGACAGCTTTTTAGCATTGAATAAAGTCTATTACCCTCAGTCCAACAGTATTTCTGTCCTAATACCTTTTTATATACATGGTTCTAAATTTGGACAGAGAAACATCATTACAAATTCATTTTCCCAAAGCAGGTGTGTTAGGCTGTTCTTCCATTGCTATAAAGAAATACCTGAGACTGGCTAACTTATAAAGAATAGAGGTTTAATTGGCTCATGGTTCTGCAAGCTGTACAGGAAGCATGAGGCAGGCATCTGCTTGGCTTCTGGGGAGGCCTCAGGGAGATTTTATTCGTGGCAGAAGGCAAAGCAGGAGCAGGCATGTCATGTGGAAAAAACAGAAGCAAGAGAGAGAGTGGAGTGGGGAGATGCCACACTTTAAACAACCACATCTTGTGAGAAATTACTATTGTGAGGACAGCACCAAACCATGAGGGATCCTCCCCCATGACCCAAGTACCTTTCACCAGGTTCCACCTCCAATGCTAGGGATTACATTTCAACCTGAGATTTGTACAGGAACAAATAACAAACTATATCAGCAGGTCACCCCTTACTGTATCATAAATGGCTACTGTCATCCTTATATGGTACAGAAGCTGCATCTACATCATCATTTCACAAAATGTGGTTAGGATATATAGTTTAACAAATATTTAATGAAGACGGTGGTATGTCACAATAGATAAAAAATAAATATAGGGACAACAGGTATGCACAACATCTCTCCTTTTCAAAAGAGAATCTTTGCTGAAACCAAATACACACACACACACACACACACACACACACACACATAGTTGTGTTTTTCCCTCCCCTAAAACAAGAGTAGCTCCTCCCCTCCAAAGTAAATACTCTGTCACTTGAGAGGCAAAAAATCAGTCTGAGATGTCCATTTCTGACATAGTGGACTAGAATATGTGAACTAACCTCCTACCATGAACGAATAGAAAAACTGATCAAAAAATCTTGTAGACATATGCTTGAAGGCATCACAAAGGTAAGAAGACACTGAAAAATTATGAATACAATGACTTGGAAACAAAAAAAAAAGAAAAAAATACAGAAAGAGGAACCTGGTATTTGAAAATTGCCAAAAGGCAAGAGAGAGATTGAAAAGCTAAGCAGAGCTTTTGAAAATAGAGCAAGGCTTGGAATGACAAAACCAGAGTCCAGAGCCTGCCCAGGAATCAGTGCTGGTAAACACCCCACAACTAGGATTATACTCAGGGAGGAAGAGTGACTTGAAAATGGTCTAGCTTTCACAGGGTAATTAACTCCAACTTAAAGTTATCTTGCTTCTTATTATTAGATTAAGTTGATGGAAGGTTATTATTTCCCCTACATATACATGCCTTTGGAGGAAGGGAAGATATAATACTAGGCTTAACTGTATAGAATTTATATTACTAAGCCTAAAATGATCAAGCACATAGGAAAAAGCAAATTATCATTTTTAATTAAGTAAAATATTAATAATAAAATCAGATACACAAAGGATTTAGTTATACAATGCCTTTAAAATAATATCCTGAATGCTTTTCACAAAATGGAGTTACATAATGACTTTCATATAACTATCTTGAATATTTTCAAAGAAATATATATAATGGAAAGCTTTTGAAAATAAATAGTATTTTAAAATATGGAATTCTAGACACCGAAAAGAGAAACAGTAACAAAAATTAAGAATGTTTTACAATACATTACAGATATCTGAAAAATCATTAGTAAAATTAAATACAGGTCAGAATACTGGATAAAAAAAGAGGAAGAGAGGAGGGACGTGATACAAAATGGCTGAATAGAAGCCTCCTCCAAGTGTCCTCCCTGCAAGAACACCAAATTTAACAATGATCTATACAAAAAAGCACCTTCACAAAGCCAAATATCAGGTGAGTGATCACAGTGTCTGGTTTTAACTTGATATCACTGAAAGAGGTACTGGTGAGGTAGGAAAGACAGTCTTGAATTGTCAGTACCATCCCTCCCCCATGCCTCAGCAATGGCCGCATGACATGGAGAATCTGCGAACTTGGGGAATTGATAATGCAGTGACTGTGGGACATTGCATTGGAACTCAGTTCTTCCCTGCCACAGTGGAAAGCAGCCCTGAACAGAACTCACCCAACACCCACCGAGGGAGCATTTAGAGCAGCCTGAGCCGGACAAGAGTCATCTGTCCCACTGGTTGGAATTTGAATTCTAGCAAGCCTGGCTACTACAGACGAAAATGATCTGGGGCCCAAAAATAAAGTTGAAAAGCCATCTGGGTCACCAGGACTGCAATTTCTAGGCAAGTTCTAGTACTGTGCTGGGGTCAGAGGCAGTGGACTTGGGAGACATGTGACCTAGTGAGACACCAGCCAGGGCAGCCAAGGAAGTGTTTGTACCATCCCTCTCCAAACCCCAGGAGCACAGCTTGCAGCTCCAAAAGAGACTCCTTCTTTCTGCTTAAGGAGAGGAGAGGGAAGAGTAAAGAGGGCATTTTTAAGCAATTTGGATATCAATTCAGCCACAGTAGGATATGGTACTGGGCAGAGTCATGAGGCTTCCGTTTGAGGCCCTAGCTCCAAAATGACATTTCTAAATACACCCTGGGAAAGAAGAAAACCTGCTGCCTTAAAGGGAAGGGCAAAGTCCTGGCAGCATTTATCACCTGCTGAATAAAGAGCCCTTGGGTCCTGAACAATCAGCAGTAGTAGCCAGAGAGCACACACTGTAGGCCTTGGGTGAGATGGTGAGATGTGCTGGCTTAAGGTGAAACCCATCACATTCCCAGCTGCAGTGGCCACAGTGAGAAATTCCTTTTTGCTTGAGAAAAGCAGAGGGAAGAGTAAAGTGGACTTTGCCTTGCAGCTTTGTTATCAGCTTGGCCACAGTCAGGTAGAACACCAAGCAGGATCTTGGTGTCCCAATTCCAAGCCTTTGCTCTTGGATGGTATTTCTGGACCTGCTGTGAGTCAGAGGGGGGCCCACTTGCCTGAAGGGTGAGATCTGGGCCTGGCAGTATTCACCACAAGCTGATTAAGGAGCCCTTGGGCCTTAAGTGAAGATCAGCAGTAGCCTGGCAGTACTCCGCGTGGGCCTGTGGTGGTGGTGGACAAGAGCAGATAAGCTTCTGCCTGTGGAAAGGGGAGAGAATAGTGGGAAGGACTTCATCTGGTGGTTTGGGTACTAGCTCAGCCTCTATAGGATGGAGCACCAGGTGGGTTTGTAAGGTTTTTGACTCCAGTCCCTGGCCTCCACATGGCATCTTGGGACCCACCTAGGGGCCTAGGGAATTTGCCACTCAAAAGGGAAAGATATGAATGTGGCTATATCTGCAAAGAGAAAAGCTGGCTTCACCACATGCTGAATATAGAGCCCTAGGGCCTTGAGTGAGCATAGGCAGCAGCCAGGTAGTGGTTACTGCAAACCTTGGGTGAAACCCAATCCTGTGCTGGCTTCACGTATGACCCAGCGCTGTCCCAGCGGTGGTGGCCACAGGGGTGTTTGTGCCACCACATCCCCAGCTCTAGGCAGTGCAGCACAGAGAGCAACTGTTTGTGAGAAAGTAAGGGAAGAGAATGAGATTCTCTGCCTGGTAATCCAGAGGATTCTTCCAGATCTTATCAAGACCACCAAGGTGGTACCTCAACAAGTCTTCAAGAGCCACGACATTACTTGGCTTGTGTTTCCCGTAAGTCAGATATGGTTGGAATAGTTGGAAACTTAGATCACAGCACCAAAGTCCCTTCAAATACCTGCAAAGCCTTCCCAAGAGACGGGAACAAACCAGCCAAAATGACAAAGACTACAATAAATATCTAACTCTTCAATACCCAAACACTAAAAAATTTTCAAAAGCATCAAGACCATCTAGGAAAACATGGCCTCATCAAGCAAACTAAATAAGGTACCAGGAATCAATCCCAGAAAGACAGAGGTATGTGATTTTTCAGACAGAGAATTCAAAATAGCTGTTTTAAGGAAACTCAAAAACATTCAAAATAACACAGAGAAACAATTCAGAATCATATCACATAGATTTAATAAAGAGATTGAAATAATTGAAGACACTCGAGCAGAAATTCTGTGGTTGAAAAATGTAATTGACATACTGAAGAATGCATCAGAGTCTCTTAAGAGCAGTATTGATCAAACAGAAGAAAGAATTAGTGAGTTTGAAGACAGGCTATTTGAAAATATATAGTCGG
The DNA here is from genome assembly GCF_000001405.40 of Homo sapiens. NCBI lineage: Eukaryota > Metazoa > Chordata > Mammalia > Primates > Hominidae > Homo > Homo sapiens. The sequence continues at coordinate 106,465,929 of NC_000003.12, read as the reverse complement.
AGGAGACAAAAGAAAAAAGCACAAATAGGAATGAAGCATGCCTGCAAGATACATTAAAAGGCTCAAAAGGGCAAATCTAACAATTAATGGCCTTAAAGAAGAAGTAGTGAGAGAGCTAGTGATGTAAGTTTATTCAAAGAGATAATCACAGAGAACTTCCCAAACCTAAAGGAAAATGTCAATATTCAGTTAAAAGAAGGTTATAGAACACCAAGCAGATTTAACTTAAAAACTACCTCAAGGCATTTAATAATCAAACTCCTAAGGGCAAGAATAATGAAGTAATTATAAATGCAGCAAGAGAAAAGAAACAAGTAACACACAATTGGGATCCAATACATCTGGCAGCAGCTGGAAATCAATCAATGCGATACATCATTATCAATGGTATGGAGAAAAAAATATGATTATTTCAACAGATGCTGAAAAGCATTTGATAAAATTCAACACCTTTTCATGATAAAAACCCTTAAAAAACTGGATATAGAAGAAACATACCTCAACACAGTGGAAGCTTTACAGGCCATGAGAGAGGGGCATGACATATTTAAAGTGCTGAAGGAAAAGAACATTTACTGAAGAATAATACATCTGGTGAAAATATCCTTCAAACATGAAGGAGAAATAAATATTTTTCCAGACAGATGAAATCTGAGGGATTTATCGGCTTGAAATAATGGGTTAGAAAACAGTATTTGCAAGCCTCATGGAAATCCTCAAATCAAAAAACATACAACAGATACACGAAAAATAAAAAATACAGAATTAAATCTTACCGCCAGAAAAAAATCACCTTCACTAAAAGGAAGACAAGAAGGAAGAAAATAACGAAGAGGAGACCACAAAACAATCAGAAAACAAATTAAAAATGTCAGGAGTAAGTCCTTAGTTATCAATAATAACACTGAATGTAAATGGACTAAATAAAGGGATGGAAGAGACATTCCACCCCAATAAAGCTAAAAAAAGAGAAGTAGCTATACATATATCAGATGAAATGATTCCAAGAAAAAAATACCATAAGAATAAAGGTCATTATATAATGATAAAGGGGGTCAATTCAGGAAGAAGATGTAACAATTATAAATATATATGCTCCCAACACTGGAACACCCAGATATATAAAGCAAATATTATTAAAGCTAAAAAGAGAGTTAGACCCCAATAGCTGGAGACTTCATTTCAGCATTGAACAGATGATCCTGACAGAAAATCGCAAAGAAATATCAGACTTAATCTGCACTATAGACCAAATGGACCTAATATATATTTAGAGAAAATTTCATCCAATGGCTAGAGAATACACATTCTTCTCCCCAGCACATCGATCTTTTTCAAGAACAGACCACATGTTGGGTCACAAACCAAGCTTAAAACATTTTTTGTAATTTAAATAATATCAAGAATCTTCTTTGACCACAATGGAATAAAAATTGAAATCAATGGAAAGAGGAACTGCAGAAACTGTAAAAACACATGGTAATTAAATAATGTGCTCCTGAATGACCAGAGTAAATGAAGAAATTAAGAATGGAATTGAAAGATTTCTTGAAACAAATGATAATGGAAATATGACATCCCAAAACTTGTCGGATATAGGGAAAGCAGTACTAGAAGGGAAGCTTTTAGCTATAAATGCCTACATCAAACAAGAAGAAAAACTTCAAATAAACAACCTAACAATGCATCTTAAAGAAATAGAAAATCAAGAGCAAACTAAACCCAAAATTAGTAGAAGAAAAGAAGTAATAAAGATCAGAACATAAATACATTGAAATGAAGAAAATAATACAAAAGATTTTGAAAAGACAAAATTGACAAACCTTTAGCTAAACTAACTAAAAAATAGAGAAGACTCAAAATCAGATATGAAAAGGAAACACTACAACCAATACCACTGAAATTCGAAGAATCATGAGTGGCTACTATGAGCAACAATATACCAATTAATTGACAAACTTAGAATAAGTGGATAAGTTCCTAGACACATACAACCTACCAAGATTGAACCAGGAATAAATTAAAAACTTGAATAGACCAATAATAAGTAATGCGATCAAAGCCATAATAAACAATCTCCCAGCAAAAACACTGGGACCTGATGACTTCACTGCTGAATTTTACCAAACATTTAAAGAGTCAATACCAATTCTACTCAAACTATTTTGAAAAATAGTGGAGGAGGGAAGACTTCCAAATTCATTATGTGAGGACAACATTACTCTGATACCAAAATTAGACAAAGACACATCAGAAACAGAAAACAATAGGCCAATATTCATGATGAACATTGTTGCAAAAATCCTCAACAAAATACCAAACAGAATACACTAATACTTTAAAAAGATCATTTATCATGACTAAGTGGGATTTGTCCTAGGGATGCAGGGATGGTTCAACACATGTAAATCAATCAATGTGATACATCATATCAACAACATGAAGGACAAAACCATACGATAATTTCAACTGATGCTAAAAAGTATTTGATAAAATTTAACACCCTTTTATGATTTAAAAAACCCTCAAAAAACTGGATCTAGAAGGATCACACCTCAATACCATAAAAGCCATATATGACAGACCCACAGCTAGTATCATACTGAATGAAGAAAAAAATGAAAGTTTTTTCTCTAAGCTCTGGAACACAACAAAAATGCCCACATTCACCACTAGTATTCAACACTGTACTAGAAGTCCTAGCTAGAGCAATCAGACAAGAGAAAAAAATAAAGGGCATCCAGATTAGAAAGGAAAAAGTCACATTATCCTTTTTTTGCAGATGATATAATTTTATTTTTGAACATACCTAAAAGACTATACCAAAAAACTAAAAGTAATAAACAAAGTCAGTAAAGTTTCAGAATACAAAATGAACATACAAAAATCAGTAGCATTTCTATATGCTAACAGCCAAGAATATGAAAAAACAATCAAAAAAGCAATCCCATTTACAATAGCTAGAAATAAAATATGTAGGAGTAAACTTAACCAAAGAAGTGAAAGGTTTGTATAATGAAAACTACAAAACATTAATGCAATAAATTAGTGAGGACACAAAAAAATGGATAGGTATTCCATGTTTACAGGTAGGAAGAATAAATATTGTTAAAATATCCATACTTTCCAAAGCAATCTACAGATATAATGCAATTTCTATCAAAATACCAATGACATTTTTTGTAGAAATTAAAAAAAATTACAATTTATATGGATCCACAAAATGCCCAGAATAGCAAAAGCTATCCTCAGCAAAAATAACAAAACTGGAGGAATCACATTACCTGACTTTAAAGTATACTGGATGGTTACAGTAATGAAAGCAGCACGGTACTGGCATGAAAACAAGCACATAGACCAATAGAACAGAAAACAGAGCCCAGAAAAAAATTCATACATCTACAGTGAACTCATTTTCAACTAAGATGCCAAGAGCGTACTTTGGGCGGGGGGGAATCTCTTTATTAAATAGTGCTGAAGAAACCGGATATCCATATGCAGAAGAATGAAACTAGACCCATATCTCTTACCATAGACAAAAATCAGGCTGGGCCTGGTGGCTCAGGCCTGTAATCCCAGCACTTTGGGAGGCCGAGGCAGGCAGATCATGGGGTCAGGAGATTGAGACCATCCTGACTAACATGGTGAAACCCCGTCTCTACTAAAAATACAAAAAATTAGCCAGGTGTGGTGGCGGGCACCTGCAGTCCCAGCTATTCAGGAGGCTGAGGCAGGAGAATGGGGTTAACCCGGGAGGCAGAGCTTGCAGTGAGCTGAGATCGCGCCACTGCACTCCAGCCTGGGGGACAGAGTGAGACTCTGTCTCAAAAAATAAATAAATAAATAAATAATAAAATAAAAATGGTTTAAAAACTTAAATCAAACACATCAAATATAAAACTACTAAAATAAACCACAGGGGAAACTCTTCAGGACATTGGACTGGGCAAAGGTTTTTTGAGTAATACCCAATAAGTATAGGCAACCAAAGCAAAAATGAACAAATGGGATCACATCAAGTTAAAAAGCTTCTGCATAGCAAAAGAAACAATCAGCATAGTGAAGAGACAACCCATAGAATGGGAGAAAATATTTGCAAACTACTCATCTGAGAAGGGATTAATAACCAGAGTATATAAGGAGATCAAACAACTCTAAAGGAAAAAAATCAAATAATCCAGTTAAAAAATGGGTGAAAGATCTGAATAGACATTTTTCAAAAGAAGACATAAAATGGCAAACAAGTATATGAAAAGATGCTCAACATCATTAATTATTCCAGAAATACAAATAAAAACTACAATGATATATCATCTTAATACAGCTAAAATGGCTCTTATCCAAAAGTCAGGCAATAACAAATGCTGACAAGGACATGGAAAAAAGGGAACCCTCAAACACTGTTGGTGGGAATATAAATTAGTACAACTATGGAGAGGAATTTAGACATTCCTTGAAAAACTAAAAATAGAGCTATCCTATGATGCAGTAATTCCACTGCTTGGTATATACCCAAAAGACTGGAAATCAAGTATACCAAAGAGATATTTGCACTCCCATGATTTCTTCAGCACTATCCACAATAGCCAAGATTTGGAAGCAACCTAAGTATCCATCAACAGATGAATAGATTTTTTAAATTGTGGTATATATACAGAGTGGAGTATTATTCAGCCATAAAAAGAATGAGATCCTGTCATTTACAGCAACATGGATGGTACTGGAGGTCATTATAAGTCAAATAAGCTAAGCACAGAAAGACAAATATTGCACATTCTCACATATTTGTGGAACCTAAAAATCAAAACAACTGAATTCATGAATATAGTGTAGAAGGATAGTTACCAGATGTCGGGGGAGGTGGGGATTTTTAATGGGTACAAAAAATAGCTAATTTCACGCATAATGACCTCCAGTTCCATCTATGTTGTTAAAAGTTAAATTCATGGAGATAGAGAGTATAATGGTTACTAGAGGCTGGGAAGAATGGTGGAGTGATGAGGAGGAAGTGGAGATGATTAATGGGTAAAAAACAATAGTTAAAAAGAGTAAACAGTATCTAGTATTTGCTAGCACAACAGGGTGACTATAGTCAATAATAATTTAATCGTGCATTTAAAAATAACTAAAAGAGTCTAATTAGATCGTTTCAACATAAAGGATAAATTATTTATTTATTTATTTATTTATTTATTTATTTTCGAGACAGAGTCTTGCTCTTGTTGCCCAGGCTGGAGTGCAGTGGCACAATCTTGGCTCACTGCAACCTCTGCCTCCTGGGTTCAAGTGATTCTCCTGCCTCAGCCTCCCGAATAGCTGGGATTACAGGTGCCTGCCACCACACCTGGCTAATTTTTGTATTTTTTAGTAGAGACCAGGTTTTGCCATGTTGGCCAGGCGGGCCTCGAACTCCTGACCTCATGATTCATCCACCTCAGCCTCCTAAACTGCTGGGATTACAGGCATGAGCCGCTGTGCCCAGCCACAAAGGATAAATGTTGAAAGTGATGGATGCCCTGTTTATCCTGATGTGATTAGTACACATTTTATGCCTTTATCAAAATATCTCATGTACCCCATAAATGTGTACACCTACCATGTACCCAGAAGTGTTAAAAATTTTTAAATGTACAGAGAATTAAAATAATGAAGAATGCACAAGACAGCATAAAAATCCTGAGGGACATACTGAGAAGTTTTATCATGTTTGTAATTGGAGTCTCAGAAAGAGAAGAAAGAATGGTATAGAAGCAATATGTGGAAAGATATGGCTTCAATTTCCAAATTATTGGAAAGTTATAAAAAAAAGTTGTAGAATAACTGTGAACCTCAAGAAGAATAATACATACAATGAAAATTTGACCCAATACATCAGAGTATAAAGCTAAGGATTTTAAAAAGTATAAAGAATTTTAAAAAGATAAACATCTTAGGCAGAGAAAAAGATAAAATAAAAAGAGAAACAGGCCGGGCGCGTGGCTCACGCCTGTAATCCCAGCATTTTGGGAGGCCAAAACGGGCAGATCATGAGGTCAAGAGATAGAGACCATCCTGGCCAACACGGTGAAACCCATCTCTACTAAAATTACAAAAAATTATCTGGGCGTGGTGGCGCGCGCCTGTAGTCCCAGCTACTCGGAAGGCTGAGGCAGGAGAATGGCTTGAACCCAGGAGGCAGAGGTTGCAGTGAGCCGAGATTGCGCCACTGCACTCCAGCCTGGGCAATAGAGTAAGACTGTGTCTCAAAAAAAAAAAAAAAAAAAAAAAAAGAGAGAGAGAGAGAGAAACAATTAGAGAACAGGCTTCTCAACAGAAGGAAAAAAAGAAAACTAAGAAGAGTAGAAGAGGATTGTATTAGTTGCATTAGTTATCTATTGGTGCATAATAAATTACTTTGAAATGAGTGGATTAAAACAACAAACATTTACTATTTCATCGATTCTATTGGTCAGTAATCTGGCAGTAATGTGTTTGGGTGGTTTTCCCTCAACATCTCTCAAAAGATTGCATTCAAGCTTTCCACTGCAGTTCAATTATCTTGAGGCCCAACTAGGGGAGGGTCCATTTCCCAATTCACTTATGTGACTATTGTCAGACCTCAGACAGTCTCCCAAGCTTAATATGGTGGCCAGCAGTCCTCATTTTTTCCTATATGGGCTTCCTTCCTGATAGGCTGCCTGAGTGTCATCATGATATGGAAGTTGGATTCCAGCTTTCCAGGGCCGCTTCACAGCATGACAGCCAGCTTCCCGGCTTCCCTTAAAGAGAGGGAATGAGAGTGAGAGAGTGCACCGAGATAGAAATCATAGTCTTTTAATAGCCTAGTCTCCAAAGTGACATCTCATTCCTTTTACTGTATTTCATTTGTCAGAACCAAGTCACTAGCTTTGCTTTGTGCTTTTTGATAGAGCAGTGTTCAAGTGAGTCATGCAGAATTAGAGTTCTAATTTATTGGTATAGAACAAATCACACCAAATTTAGTATTTTAAAAGAACCATTTTATTTTTATCATGACATAGAAATAATCTTAGGTGGGTGGTGCATGTCAGTTGGGGCTCGCTATGGTTTGAATATGTCCTCCAAGTTCATGTGTTGGAAATTTAATCCCCAGTGTAATAGTTTGGGGAGGTGGTGCCCTAATGGGAGGTATTTAGGTCATGGGGGCTCTGCTCTCATAAATGCATTAATGTTCTTATCATAGTAGGTTTATTATAAAAGAGAGTTTGGCCCCCTGTTGCCCTCCCTTGCATACTCTCTTGCCTTTATGACACCTTTTGCACATGTGATGTCTTCTGTAATAAATGTCCTCTTAATCTTGGAATTCCCAGCCTCCAGGACTGTGAACCACATAAACTTCTATTGTTCATAAATTATTCAGTTTCTGGTGTTCTATTATAGCAGCATGCAACAGACTAAAAAGACTGGAAGAACATCCACTTCCAAGATAGGTTCTTTATTCACATGATGGATACCTCAGTGGCTTTGAGCCGCTCTGTCTCTCTGTACATGATGTGCCATCCTGCAGGACCTCCATATATAGCTTGTATTTTGTACAGTGTGGTGGTCTCAGGATAGTCACATTTCTTACATGGTGTCTGGCTTCTCAGAGACAGAAAATGGAAACTGCCTAGCCATCCAAGGGCTATACCCATGACAAGGTCAGCACAAGGTCAGCATTACTTCCACTGCTTTCATTTTGTCATGGTAGTTGCATTGTCAACCCAGATTCCAGAAGGTGGAGAAATAAATGTCCTCTCTGAAGTAGAATTAGGAAGGTTACACTGCAGAAGAAGCACGTGGGTTTAGAGATACTATTGCTCTCATCTTTGGGACAATGCACTCTTTTACCATCAGCTCTCTGACCACAACAACCCACATCCCATACACTTGAAAATTATACTTATCCTCTTCCTGAAAATTTCATCCCATTATGGCTCTGTGGTCACATTTTACTGGCAAGATGCTGTATTTGACCTTGTTTTGAGTCTGTTACTTAAACTGAGAATCTTTTGTAATCTGAAGCTAATCCTGGCTCTTTCATGTATCCTCAAATTTCAGCTTAAAAAGTGACCAGTTCCTTCTTTATCTCATCTCTCTATAGCCATAGTTCATTATACACAACTAAAAGGAACCAGCTGGCTCTCTCAACATTCTGCCTTAATGTCTGCTAAACAAGATCCTCTAGTTGATAGGCTCATTTTTATTTTCTGTGCCCCCTATATTATTATTGCCGTGTAAAAAATTACCTTGAAATTTAGCATCTTAAGATAAAACAACACAAAAATTATTTTCTCACATAGTTTCTGAGAATCAAGAATCTGGAAGTGCCTTAGCTGGATGCTTCTGGCTCAAGACTCTTCATGAATCTGCAATCAAGATGTCAGTGGGGTTTGTGGCCAACTGTCAACACGCCTGAAGCTGGAGGATCAACAATCTAGGTGCTGAGTCATGTCACTATTGGCAGAACTCCTCAGTTCTGCATGGGCTGCTGGCAGAAGGTGTTGGTTTCACAGGGTAGTCAGGGAGTCCTCCCAGCATAATAGGCATCTTTTGACAGTCTACCAAAGAGAGGGCAAGTAAGAAGCTGCAGTTTCTTTTATAACCTACTCTTTGAAGTCATACATTTTTATTTCACTTTTTCATTAGCAGCAACTCACTAAATTCAGCCTACACTCAAGGAGGGAAATTAGGCTCCACTTCTTAAAAGGGGGAGTATCAAAGAATTTGTGGAAATATTCTAAAACCACCACATTTCCATTGCAGCTGTCAGCAATTTTTCTAAATTTTCTACCACAATATTACACAGTTTATCTTTTCTGCAGCCTCCAATAACACTTTTTCTGCATTCTTTTTCCACTCTCACAGTCTACTTGGGATCCTTTACTCCTCCACTCAACACAAGCTCCCAAATTCAAAGGCACATGCTTTGCATTTTTGTTAACAACAAAAAAAAAACCTGCCTCTGGTACCAAATTTTGGTTCTGGTATATATTCCTGAGTAACAAACCATTCCAAACTTTTAGCAGGTTAAATAGCAACAATTTATATGTATGTTCATTCTGTGGTTCAGGTATTTTGTCAGGGCATGGTGGGATGGCTTTTCCCTCTTCCTGCAAGTTTGGGCCTCAGCTGGAGTGGCTGAAATGACTGGAGATGATTGGCATGGCATCACTGGGGCCACTTCCAGCGCTTTAGTTCTAGAGGTCAACTTGGTTTTTCTATTCTCCTCTATGGGGTCTAATAGAGTTCAAAGAAATCAAGATAGCTTATTTTCTTGCATGTGATGCGTGGATTGAAATAGCTGAGTGGAGTCAAGCATCTCTTTTTGTCTAAGTGGCCTCTCTGAAGAGTGTAGGAGTCTCACAGTAGCTGGAATACTTTCATGGCACTGACTTCCAGAAGGAGCATTTTAAGAAACTCAAGTGAAAGTTGCAAGGCTTGACATGACCTAATCTCAAATGTCACTCAGCATCACTTCTGCTGTATTCTCTTGATTATACAAGGCCAATTCCAATCACTGTGGAAGGGGCCATAGAAGAAGGAAATTATGAAGAACCTTGATTCATTTGGGGACCATATTTGGAAATTAGCTCCCATGCAGTCCTCTACTAGCTATCTATGTGCTCACCGACTTCTAGAATACATTTTTTTATTCTCTACCCAAACTACTACTGTTTCTACTTCCTAAAACATAATTTTCATCTGAGTTAGTGGAGTAAATAAAGTTTATTACAATGAATTTTCAGATGTAACTAAATTGGAATGGATTTTATAATACATAATGACACCAAATAAACTAGACAATATCATCTCCATTTCCCCAAACCAATAAGTTTGGTTTTTAGCACCAAAGGAGCAATTTCATGGCATTGCTTGTTCATTTAAGATTTCATACACTGCTCCTTGTGCATTCTTATGTGATCTCAGTGTATAAATTTGTTCTCTAAGAATCAGTTATCACTGTTAATCATACAGTTTCTTTTCAATTACAAAAACGTGGGAGAAGGCATTATACTGAGTAGGTAGTCAATATGTTTGTTAGTGCTATTTATATAGAAAATTTTTAATATGCATATGTTTACTCAATAAGCATATGCTAAGAATCTATTTCATGCTGGGCTCTGCATAATATTTTTGTGGAAGTGTATGCCCCTGAAACAGCTGCATAATCCACTTCTCTTCCCTCCCCACCATCTTCCTTCCTGACTGCATGGCTTTAAGTACCACTCAGGCTAATTAAAGTTTCAAGAACATTGATAGCCATTTAAATCTAGTAGTTTTATATATAGCAATTTTCTCTGGCCTTTCTCTGAGACAGGTATAAGATTTTTAGATTTTCATGGCAGTAGAATGGAGCATATTCTAATTTCCTCCAAAGTAACAACAGCAGCATAAAAGAATAATCTAGTGTGCAATCTTTAGTAAATCTTTTGTTCTTCAATACTTTTCCTCCTTCACTCCCTCCTTACTTCTTCTTTTGCTCTCTTTTACTCCTTTTTTTTTAACAGTAAATAAAAGGCCAGGTGCGGTGGCTCACGCCTGTAATCCCAGCACTCTGGGAGGCCGAGGTGGGCGGATCACCTGAGGTCAGGAGTTCGAGACTAGCCTGACCAACATAGAGAAACCCCGTCTCTCCTAAAAATACAAAATTAGCCAGGTGTGGTGGTGCATGCCTGTAATCCCAGCTACTCAGGAGGCTGAGGCAGAAGAATCACTTGAACCTAACTCCATCTCAAAAAAAAAAAAAAAAGAAAGAAAGAAAGAAAGCAAAATAATACAGGGTTGCTGAAAATATCACTTTCTAATGAAATCCTCTCTGATCACATTTCTGAAACATCGTCTCTTAATGTCAGTCATATTGTTGTCTTTGTTTGCTTAAGTGCAATTAACACAATCTATAAGACTTGTTATTTGTTTTTTCTTCCTCCCTCTGGAAAACACTAAATCAAGGAGCATAGACACGTTATGTCTAGTATGCAGCTGAATCCTTGGTACCTGGCCTAAAGTTAACAATAATTTTTTTTTCTTTTGAGACAGGGTCTCAATCTGTCACCCAGGCTGGATTACAGTGGTGCAATTATAGCTCACTGTAGTCTCATCCCCCGAGGCTCAAGGGGTCCTCCCACCTCAGCCTTGCAGGCTGGGACTACATGCATGCACCACCATGCCTGGCTAATTCTTATTTTTTGTAGAGATGGGGTCCCACTGTGTTGCCCAGGCTGGTCTCAAACTCCTGAGCTCAAACAATCTTCCCTCCTTGGCCTCCCAAAGTGCTGGGATTACAGGAGTGAGCAACGCGACCTGGTCTAAACAAAGATTTGTTGCATAAATTAGTGAAATCAATTATTCCAAATGAACACAGAAACTAAGTAATGCGGTATCCATTGTTAGTCATTATGATTAGTTCCCCAATATATGCTTTCCCCTCTCTTGACAATGCCCCTATTTTCATTCAAGTTTCCACACTTCCCCTGCACAATATAAATGTTTTAGGGGAAATGAATTCTACTTCTAACTCTAAATGTGAGATATAAGCCAGGACAAAGGAAATCAGTAGGTGACATTCCTTAGGCTACAGTGAGAAAATAGTTTTTGATCCAGTTGAGCCAGGGAGAAGATCCAGAAAATGGTTTATTCACTATCAAGTAAGAAGAGCTACACATTTTTTTATGGCCTGAAACTTAACACAAATGTTGTAAGCATCCATCATTAAGAAAAAGAGTACACCAGTGACTTCCACCAATGGTCAAGTCTCAGGTCTTGACATATTTTGCCTCTCAATAGCAGCTGACACACTATGTGGTGGACACTACAATGCATTATCTAGAAGCTTTTTCAGAAATGAAAATTTTAGTATACCAACTGCCAGGATGCTGCAACAGACAGCCCTCAGCTGTCATCCCCTTCAGGTACTACCTCTGTTGAAGAGACTTTCACCCCAAGTCACACCTGCTTCCTGGGGCAGCCCAAATCCAATGACTGACAGAGGTGTGAGTATAAAGACTTGGTCCTTTCAACCAAATTTATAACAGTTCCAATGGGTTCTCTCATCCTCTGTACTCCCCTCAGGATCAGCTGAAGCCTTCACTGAGACTTACATGCAGTTTGGCTTCTCTCTGTGCCAAATTCTGTTTTGTTTTTCCAATAGGTGTTTATCACATACAATGACTCCTTAATAGACATCCCACATGCTAATGTCTAACTAATACACCAAGACATGTCACCTAGAACAAAGCCCAGTGCAAAACAGAAATGCAACTTCCTCTTCCCTGCCCCATACTGATTGTGTGTTTTTTAAGATTTAATAATCTTCCTTGAAGGTTAAAACCTTCAGAGGTCTGATAGGGATGATGTTCGACCAAGGCTGACTTGCAGGGTAGTTACTATGAGGAGATTAATATATTTTTTATTATATTTAATTATTAAGCTATTAATTATTAAGCAATTAAGCAATTACTTATATTTTTATTCAATCTTGGGGGTAAGTAGAGAATATTAGGAAGAATAGACACATGTGTACAAGTACTTATATAAAAAGTAATTATATTTTAGCCACGTGATGCTACTTAATTGTATTTGTCAATGTGACTAGTGTAAGCCCAGATAGCTGGTAAAACAGTATTTCTGGATGTGTCTGTAAAAGTTGTTACCAGAAGTGATTAGCATTTGAATTAGCAGACTGGGTAAAAAAGATCTTCCCTCACTGATGTGAGAAGGTATCATCTAATCTGTTTAGGACCTGAATAAAATAAAAAAAGAGGAGGAAGCTTGGCTTGAGCTGGAACATTGTCTTTTCCTGCCCTCAGACATCAGAGCTGCTGGTTCTCAGGCTTTAGATGATGCCTTTTGAGGACTTACCCCAGCCTGATATCATCAGCTCCTGTCTCTCTTCTTCCCCTGGTGCTCAGACATTTGGCTTGGGAGTGGGAGTTACACCATTGGCTCCCCTAGTTCCCAGATTTTTGGACTTGGACTAAATTATACCATGTGCTTTCCTGGTTCCCCAGCTTACAGATGGCATATTGTGGATCTTCTCAGCCTCCATAATTATATGAGCCAATTACCATAATAAATCTTCTCTTATATATCTCTCTATATGTCCTATTGGTTCTCTTTCTTTGGAGAACCTTGGCTAATGCAATCAGCATTTAAAATACACTTAAAAATATTTTTCAGAAGCACTACGTTCTTAGTATTTGTCCCAGAAAGCTGTAACTAATACTGCACTCTAATGTTACTTGGTGGTGCTAGAAGTTTCCAATCACGTTACAAGTATTCCTGAGAGTCCTTCTGACATTCAAAAGCTCTGATTGCCTTATACTTTTAGCCTCTGAAAAGTTAAGTTGCCCCCGTTCTAAAATTCCTAAATGTTACAATTTGAATCAGCATTCATTTCATTGTTCTGGTTCTTGATGAAAAATTAAAGTGCAGAAAAAGAAAAGACAGTGTGGATTTGTCAGATATATTTTGCAAAAGCCAGCAAAAATGTAAAACATTTGGCTAATCATCCATTGTTTTGTTCAATTAGTACTGATTTGAGTTGTACAAGATTTTGTAATTGAAACGTTTATTTTGAATGAAATCAGTGGCCAGTTTTGCATTTCTAGACAAAGAAGCATAGTGCAGTATAAAAAACAAGCAAACAAAGCACACTGGACAGTGTGCCAGGAGGCCAAATTCAAGCCCTGTCACTTCCTAGCAGCATGACCTTGCTAAATCATTTAACTTCTTTGAGGCTCATTATTTTCATCTGATATCCTGGAGCTAAATATGATAATGCATGTGAAAGTACTTTGAAAACTAAGACAAATTTCACACATTTAAGAACTCACCATCATTATTAATATTATAATAAAATGCATATGTCAGTCAGGGTACTAGTTTGTAGGCATCAAAATTATTAGGATAGATTTAAGCAGTAAAAAGTTAATTGTTGGAAGGATACTGGATAGGTCACAGAAGCCATTGGAAAGCTTGAGAATTTAGCTCAGGAATGACAGGACTTTAGATAGTCCAAGAAACCCAGCCAAGGCTATATTCCAGGAATAGTCTGGTGAACAGTCCACTCTTGGGACTACCAGTGTACAAACGCCCACCTGGGTCAGTAGCTCACAACTACCACTGGTCAGTGTCAAGGAAATGAATTCCAAACTTTACCTTTACATGACTAACTCAAATTTTAAAAGTTTTTGACTGTCTAAACTTTAATCATGGTTCTGCACCCTACTTGCTAGGGTCTAAAAAGGGGCCACTTATCACACTTTGGATTTCATAATAAAAATCAGGATCCACCAAATTTCCATTATACAGGAATAAGTTACATCAATACCATTTTCCCAATCAGGGTTGGATAATAAGTCATCTAGCGACAGGGAGGCTTCTTGTCAAGTTTTAACAGCCACCATTCTATATTAATTACCCCTGTAGAAGAATTACTTTGGCTAACAAATAGTGATAGGAACTATGCTGTGGCGGGTAGTCTGTATCTGTAATAATTGCTTCCATAGAAATGAACACCAAATAGCTGGCAAGTATAAGCTGGCAAGGATAAGGCACACACCCAAAAAAATATACAAAAGGAAAGAAAGATGTCTATATAATTATACAGAGTGCTGAACTACCAGTGAACAGAAAGAAAATGCTCAGTTCTAGTCAGACAATAGTAATTATTTCAAATGTACATTATACAAGTAATTGGCAAAAATGAGCTAAATCACTTATAAATTACATAAACAAAGGACTAATATTTCAATTTTCAGAAGAAAGTATATATTTTTGATATTTATGAAACACTGAAAACTGTTTATAGTCTTCAGTAATAAATTGAAAGCAAATATTTTATAGTGTTTCATTCTTCCTGCTGTCTGTGAGGCTTTTTCTTTTTTCTTTTTGAGACAGTGTCTCACTCTGTCACCCAAGCTGGAGTGCAGTGGTGTGATAATGGCTCACTGCAGCCTCTACCTCCTGGGCTCAAATGATCCTCCCACCTCAGCCCCCCAGCAGCTGGGACTGTAGGCACGTACCGCCATACCCAGCTAATTTTTGTATCTTTTTGTAGAGATAGGGTTTCACCACATCATCCGGGCTGGTCTCAAACTCCTAGGTTCAAGCAATCTGCCCACTTCGGCCTCCCATAGTGCTGGGATTACAGGCATGAGCCACTGTGCCTGGTAATATATGGAGCTTTTATACTAAATTTCAAATTTGTTGACTGATTTTATTGGATGACCACTGGAATTTTTCCTATGCCATGAATGGAGAAAAATTAGAACAATATTTTAGTTTTATAAGATGATGAAAATTATCCTTGAAATATTTAGACTGATTTTTAATATATTTTTATATATGACTTAATAACATATATGATATATAAATTATATTTTATATACATATATATAACTTATAACAACTTCCCAAGTCACAAAATTATTTCTTACTAAACAAAAATTGCTATTTTACTGTATGGAGGGTTTGAAGGCAGTATTGAGAAGGGGTACTAGATCTGAGGGAGAAGAGAGGCCCAGATTATTTTGAATTATCTTTTAAGAAAGCTCAATATGCATGTAGGAAGTTTTTACTGGGTGCAGCACACCTCTGCGTTGATTCACCATGAGGAAGCCTGTGAAGTGTTAGGAATAACTCTCTGCTAGATTTCCTATTTGTGATGAGAACTTAATATCATATGGACCAAAGGTTTCTTCCCACTGTGCATCCCTTTACAGAGATTCTGTAAATTTAAGATGTAGAATTGGCTCTAGAACCAATTTATAGGTCTGTTAATGTGACTTCTTGAGATGTATTGGTGACTAACCCTTCTTCTGTTTTGTAACAGACAAAGTTGGTGCCCCACCTACATCCCTTCAGCACTCCCTGGAGATCAGCTGCAGCTTCCCATGTACACTACTGTGAATCCCTTAAGCACCGTGTCTTTATGTCTAAGAGAGCAGTCTGACCCGTGAGTGGTACAGGGCAAACGTGCTGGAGAATTAATGTTCCCATAAGCAACTATCAACCAATGAGGGATTGAGGCTGGTAGATAAAATTCTGTAGCAGGCTTTGTAGGTCCTGGAATTCTGAGGTGTACTCTATATGGTCTCTCAGAGGGCACCTTTCCCCAGTTTTCCTACTTCCTCATTTTGCTGCCTCCTAAATAAACTTCTAAAACCCAAATTCTTGTCTTGGAATCTTTCTTTTTAAATGTCCACTGGATTTTATTATTTGTAAAGCCAAGAGTGTCACTATTCTGGAGACACAAAGTTAATCAAAGAACAAGTGTCTGCTAACTAGTTGCATTTATGGGGAACTAAAACAATCAGAGATTGTCTCTGTTTCCTTACCATCGGAACCATGATCTGCTCTGGTGTTTGCATCTTCTACTTTTATGGCTGGTATGATTTGAGACTCTCTCGTAGTATAAGTACAAAGGAACACATGACTGGAATTTATTTCTTAAGCTACAAAAAGGAATGGCTTATTGAGACTTTTTCTGATAGACTGCAATACTTGTTTCCTGCTAATCATCCTTTACACAGATTTCTTATTTATGACTATTTTTTAAATTGCTTGTGTAAATGAGACTTAAAATGTTGGAATTCTATGGTCTGCAAATCTTGCCTCTCACTTCAAAACCTTGAAGGCAGGATGGCTTACTTAAGAAACAACCTCAATATTTCAGGCAACAGATAATAGTAGTGAAATAAATGCATCTGAGAGACTACTGGATTAGAATAGATACAGCTGGGTGGATAGACATTCAATTCGCTGACCGGGAAATTGAAAGAGGAAGAATAGATAGAGAGAGGGATATAATATAACTGCATGTTCCCCAAGATCCACTGAAGAAAAGCACTGCAGAATTGAATGAATGCAGGAATTGAGAAACATGAAGAAGCTCTTGAAACTTTGCAGAAAGTGGTAGGAGTAGAAGATCTGTGAGCAGTGTATTAGCCTGTTTTCATGCTGCTAATAAAGACATAACTGAGACTGGGTAATCTATAAAGGAAAGAGGTTTAATTGACTCACAGTCCAACATGGCTGGGGAGGCCTCACAATCATGGTGGAAGGCAAAGGAAGAGCAAAGTCACATCTTACATGGCAGCAGGCAAGAGAGCTTGGGTAGGGGAACTCCCCTTTTTAAAACCATCAGCTCTCATGAGACATATGCATTATCACAAGAACAGCACAGGAAAGACCCACCCCCATGATTCAATTACCTCCCACTGAGTCACTCCCACCACACATGGGAATTATGGGAGCTACAGCTCAAGATGAGATTTGGGTGGGGACACAGTCAAACCATATTAAAGCAGTGATTCGGGGAAATAAAGAAACCAAGAGTTAGGACGAGGATGAATGAAGACTTATGAGGTAGCTGGGAGATGGGTGAGTGCTCAGAGGAGGAGTAAAAGGACAGAACATTTCCTGTGTTTTCACAAATTGGTGTCTCTCCCCATTTCATTTGTTTCTGTCATTACTTCTGTTTTTTGAATGACTATTTCTGATTCAACCTAGGATGCTCCTCTTCCGCTCCCAAGGGGGAGCCAAGAATTTTAATGTCTCTATTTGATTATATCAGTGTCACCTTACTCTGGATAATATATTTTTAATATTTTTATTTCTTCATCTCAAAGAATACTTTTCAACATTTCTGTTTTCTTTTTAATTTTTAAAAGGCATGGATTCTTTTCCTTTAACAGAAACATAATAGCATTATTTCATTTAAAAATAATAATTCTTTAATGTCATCAAATATCTGGCTAGTTCAACCTTTCCTTTTGCTTTTGTGACTCATCTATTCCTTATTTTGGCAATACATCAGCCCTGACTTTTTATTATTTACAGACTTGGTTTACTTCCTTCTGCCAAAGATAAAAGACAAAAATTGGGGTTTTCATAAAGGTTCTCTTACTCCTTTAGGGAGTTAAACAAAATACCAGTAACTAAAATCATCTGAAACAACCAGTTTCTATGATCTTAAAAATGTAAACATGTCATCAAAATCAAATGTCTCATATATATGTAGCCCAAAGGTATTAAACCTTAATATCTTAAGGTTTAAAGTATTAAAGTAAATGCCAGAGTGTCCCTGCTTTCTAAGAGAGGAAAGGGCATTGCAAGTTCATGACAGAATGAAAGACTTCAGAAATTTGAATATATTTCCCAGAGCCAGAGGGCTGAAAGTTGGTTATACAAGACTTGTACAAGCCTCCAGGTTATGAAAGATAAATATTTTAGAAGATAGAAACAGATATCTTCCCACCAAGAAAAGTGGCCAATGAAAAATAATATCTACTGTGTAGTAGTCACTGTATTAGGAACTCTTCATATGTGAAATAATTCTCACAGTAACCATGTAGAGGAGAGATTATCTAGACCACATTGCAGACTTGTAAAGCAAAATTTAAAGAAGTTATCTAATCTGTCCAAGATCACATAGTTACAAAATAAATATGTTTTCAGGCCTGTTAGACTCCAAAACCATGGTCTGTTCATGATAATAGCAGGTTGACTTCTCTGAGCGTAGTTAAGGTATGTTAGAATGTGCTATGTCTGCTTAAAGATGAGGAAAAACAAATTTGTATCACACCTATGTAAGCGTAGTGCTGAACTAAACTCCATGAAAAGGATCTGTCCTGTGAACCACAATGTCAAAGGAAGAGAAATGTGCAGTGTTAGAGCAGCTGTACCACTTGCTGAAATTTGATCATAGGTGACTTTCTTATGAATGTACATTTAATTAAAGTTTCCCTTTAAACTGACCCCCCTCCCATATCAGTCAGAGTTTAGTCAGGAAAATAGAGCCACCATAAGAGTTGCACAAATAATGTATTTTTATGACATTAACTAGATTAGTTACTTATAGTAATTAGACCTTACAATAATGCGCAACAAGCAGGGGAAGTGAAGGTCTGAGAGAGAGAGAAAGGATCTCATCACCCCATCGATGGACAGGTACAGGTATCCAGTCAGAGCTTAAAGGATAAGATTGCCAGATTTAGCAACTAAAAATACAGAACACCCCATTACATTTGAATTTCAGATAATAACACATCTTTTTAGTATAAACATCTTTAAGCAATATATGAGTATAATTTTTCTATTTGATTGTTTATCTAAAGTTTAAATTTCACTGATATCCTGCGTTTTATCTGACAATATGTAGTAGGAACATGTGAGAAATCAAATATATTCACCTCTGAAGTGAGACTGCCAAGGGGAATTTTGTAAAGAGTCTATAAAAATAGCTACAAGCTGCATAGCCAGAAGCAGCTACTGGGCTACACAGCTAAACGTCTGGGGTACCCCTGGGGCTGCCATTGGTCAACAGGATGGGCAGTCAGGAAGAGGAGCTGGGCAAGGAGCAAAGCTAGCAAGGACAGTCTGGGCACCTCTGTAATGGACAGACATCGTGTCTAACCACAGCTACCTTTGGTAACAATGACTACTCCTTCACAGCTGCCTTCTGAATTGTGCAGAACCTCTCTCAGCCACACAGGAAAAGAGATTCTGAGAAAGACAATTCCCAGTCTCAGTCAAATCAGTGTAACACAATGTAGTATATCTAGTCTTTTGCCCAAAACTCTCTCTTGCTCTACCTCTGTCTTCCCTTCTCCCTCCCTCTCTCTTTACTGAGTTAAAGTGTACGTAAAAATACGTGGATGGTAAGTGTAGTTATATGAGTTTTGACAAATTTATACACCTGTGTAAACACCATGAAATCAGGATACAGAACATTTCCGCCACTCTATAAAGTTTCCTTATGCCCCTTTCCAGTCAACCAGAGTTTCTCATAGGCAAACACTATTGATTTTTTTATTATAACTTAGTTTAGCCCCTTCTTGAGTTCTCTTTCAACAGAAACATACAGTATTTTTCTTGAGTATCTGGCGTCCTTCACACAACATAACATTCTACACACTAATGTTGCTGCATGCATCAATAGTTCATTTGTTTTTCATTGCTGAGTATTCTATCATATGAATATACACACTTTGAAAATTAAGTTTATTGAAAAGATAGCTTTTTACCGACACTGTGAATAGAAAAACCAGCATTATTGTCATATGTAAAATGTAAGCACCCAAAAAATACAACGAAATGTAATTTAATATTGTTAAATTGTACTTATATGCCAAATGTTGTGAAACTCCTCTTATTTTCTAACATTAATTAGAGTAGTATCAAATGCATTTAGGTGCTGACCTAAGTGACAAGTGATCTTAAGGGATCAAAAAAACTGTTGACAGGTAAAAGAAAGAGATAACAATTTAAATTAGTGGCTAATCTCATACACCCTAAAATTATCTTGCTCACAATCAGTAGTGACTGCCACCACTTCAGCTCTCACCACATGCTGAGGAACACTCACCAGAACATGATATTGGAGTCTTTAGAGGAGAAAACTCTTATTTGGAGGCTACCAGGAAAACATGGTTTCAAGACGATGTTCTCAGCAATTGGAGTTACTTATCACCTACCTAAAAAGCAGCTGGGCCAGGCGCGGTGGCTCACGCCTGTAATCTCAGCACTTTGGAAGTGTGAAGGGGGCAGATTGCCTGAGGTCAGCAGTTCGAGACCCACCTGGCTAACATGGTGAAACCCCGTCTCTACTAAAAATACAAAAAATAGCTGGGCATTTGTGGCGCATACCTGTAGTCCCAGCTATTTGGGATGCTGAGGCAGGAGAATCATTTGAGCCTGGGAGGCAGAGGTTGCAATGAGCTGAGATCATGCCACTGAACTCCAGCCAGGGTGACAGAGCTAGACTCTGTCTCAAAAAAAAAAAAAAAGCAACTGAAGCTGATAACGACCTAATCATGGCCTGAAGAGGACAATAGACCTTCTAACACTAAATAGAATTGTGTTTCATAAATTGGCTAAGGATCCAAAAAGACATTAATGAGCATGGGGTAGAAGTTTCCTTGCTTTTCCATAGATAGATAGATAGATCGATAAACATTGTATATGTAGATATATATGAAAATTAACAGAGCCTTTTTGTAGCTGTTTATAACTATAGAACTTACCTATATTTTTAAAATTTTAATAATTATGGATTTTTAAATAATTAAAATAATAAAGCTTAAAATATAACTGTAAGCATATTATAAAAGACCAATACACTGAGAAGGATATTTAAAAATATATTACTTACTAGTGAGCTGCAAGAATAGTGGTATGAATGCTTTATCTTCTAATTTTATATTGCACAAGAAAAGTAAGAACTAATGACAAATTTTTAGACCACATCATATTCTGTTTGTGTTAATATCAGAGTAACATTTTCAAAGGTAGGAAAACATAAACCATATTGTGAAATAATCTATAAAAGTCTCCAGCATGATGTCTGGTTCTTACAAGGGAGCCAATAAATATTAGTGTCTTTTCATCTATTAAAATCTCAGGAGTAGGAAGCCTTGTAGAGGATAGAAAATGGAATTGATGACTATCACTGATAAAATAGTTTCACCATTTAAAAAAGTGTAAGAAAGACTGATAGAAAAATACTATAACTTTTTTGAAGTTTAACCTAGGTTAGATCTACAATAATGAAAGGAGAAACTGGTTTCAGTGTGAAATAAACAGTGGCGGTGCTGCGAATGAAACTGAATTCACCTTTTAGGTAGGTTCTCTAGAGGAATCATTTTGTTCATGCCAGACTTACACAAAGAAAGTTTTTTCAACCATATTTTGCTATTTGGCATGACAGTTGTTTTCTATCTTTGTTTATAAAGCCAGCATATTTTGACTTGCATATGTAGCAGTGCCTAATAAATATCTGTGGGAGAAATGAAAGAAAATTAGGCAACATGGGAGGCTTAGTAGGTACAGACAGCTTTCTTTATATGAGGCCAGAATTATAGCATCAGGAGGAATTTGTGTTGTAAATTTCCCCTCAATATATCAGAGGGAAGAAATGCATGATGTTTTGAAGAGTCATTTTTTTACTACATAAGAGAAGCTCTTAGCAAAACCATATGCTCCATGGGTTGCCGTTCTTCTCTCTGCTGGAATCTCTCTTTACTTTTTGGTACCATTCCTTCTAGCTCCAATTCAGTGCCCTAGTCAGTGTAATCTAAACATGGCTTAGTCTGATATGGACTAAGCTGTCTACCAGAACAATCTACTCTTTTGCAGGCCCCCTTTCTCACTAGTCTGTATCCCCATAGCCTAGCAAAGTACCTGGTGCACCCTACTAATCTTTGCTAGGAATTGAACTGCTATGTGTCCCCCAAAAAACTTGCATTTCATTAGAGAACTTAAAAGATTTAAAATAATGCATCACTAACATAAAAAAATTATGTGTTTAGTAAGAGATTTTGATAAGATGATTTTCCCAATACCTTTCAAATAGTTTTCATGAAATTTTGCTACTTCCATTTATTGATGTCCTCAACTTACTATTTCTGCTTAAACTTTAAATTTCACTGCCTATTTGAAACCAATTGAACTAATCGATTGTACCCAGCCTGGTTCTGCTAACCTGTACTTGTGGTGTCTTCAGAATACCACATCTGTCAGTGCTCAGACCATCTTGGAGGTAGAGATAATTACATATTCCAAAGCATTTCCCATGGGGAAATACAGCCTGCCATAGAATGAAGAAAGGTAGCTTGCTGGAGAATGAGCCAGTTAGATTCAGCAGGATGGGTATACTTTGGGATAAATAAATCTTGATAAATTGGCTCCATCTGAAGTTCTCTTTCTCAAAGTATAAAAAAAATTTATGATTGCTTTTAAATAAATAAATGATTGGCAGACAGGGAGTAAGTAGCAATTTTGAATTACCCTTAAAGAATCATAACATTATTAATTCAGTATCTTACTGTATGTTCGTAAGCTACAAAGTGTGCATTTTTCCTCATGTGGCTTTTCAAAACTATTGTATTTATGTTTTACAACTGACATTTTACTTGCTGTTTTAATGATGTTTGTTAAAGCTTGATGCTCTTGGAAATGCATGGCTAACCACGGTGCATCACTATCATCTTTTCTGTTGCCAGTGGCTAAATAATAATAACAATTAAAAGTGGCTTAAGCAGAAAAAGAGTGGATTGATGGTTTCATGTAACTGAAAATTTTTGGAGTAGCTCAGGCATAAATACTCAGTGATGCCACCCAAGGTACCTTGTTTGCTTCTGTTTTGTTTCTTTGTTTTTTTTTCTCTCTTTCCTCTGTGTTGGCTTTATTCTCAGAAAGCGTCTCTTCTTGTGATCAGAGAATAGCTATACAGCACGTTCAGCCTCAGACTTTCTCAAACTCAAGGTCAGGGAGCAAGACATTTTTTTCTTGTAGCCCCTGTAATTTCCCCCTGGAACTAATCTGGGTCTTCAGCCCAAACCTGAACCAGTCACTTTATTTCTATCTAGACAGGTAGATTAGGAAGGTTGTCGGGTGGAAGAAAGAGGGCGAGAGAGAGAGAAACTGATTTCCCTGAAAACAAGAACTGTTCTTAATCATCATTCTTTAAAAAAAATTTATTCCTAGAGTTTGGTACAATGCTAGGCTCATAGTATCTATTCAGTACATATAAATTGAGTTAATGTTCAATTATTTACTGATTCAGTTCCCACATTATTTTCTCTTTACTATCTTACGTGATTATCTTCTGCCTCAGCCTCCCGAGTAGCTGGGACCACCACGCCCGGCTAATTTTGTTTTTGTATTTTTAGTAGAGACGGGGTTTCACCGTGTTAGCCAGGATAGTCTCGATCTCCTGACCTCGTGATCTGCCCGCCTTGGCCTCCCAAAGTGCTAGGATTACAGGCGTGAGCCACTGTGCCCGGCCTGACAATCTTAAAGTTTCTTCAGCTTTCACATGTCTTATTTAGCTCTACTTTCACTTAACTTTTCTTTGCATGCTATTCTCTTTGTATCATAGCTTCTTCTTTTCTCATAGATATTTGCTTTTTCTTAGAGTGGCTACAGTTTCTAGTATCATAAGAAGTTTTCTAATATGTTGTCTGAGAAGAAAGGGGTGAGGGGGAGGAACAACGGAACAGGAGAAGAATGTATTCAGGATTTATAACGGTTCTATATGTTCCATGTTTATTAGGGTCTTCAATCCTAAGAGCAAATATGTGAGAGCAATTATTATCCCCATTTTACAGTTGAGAAAACTGAGACACAGAATGATATGTTACTTGTCCAAGTTTTCAGTTAGGATTAGTTGAGCTATTCCAGGAAATCAATTATATTGGTAAGTTTGTTTATCTGTTTTGGAGACAAAGGCATAATATACCCTGTCTTTCGTGGTGCTGTTTTTCTTCAGAGATCCCATGTTGTTTATTAGTATATTTTGAATATTAATTTTTCCTCTAAAAAGGGGAAATATATTCAGACTTGTGTTTGCAAAGAAGACTTTGGGGGTTGGTATTTGAATATGGTTAAAAGCCCCTCTCAAATAGACAGCATGAGGACAGGTTAGTATATTTCCTCACTGAACTTTCAGTTATTTCATCTAGCAAGCCTCAAATTCTTTTATTTTATTTTATTTTTTTTGAGACAGAGTCTCACTTTGTCACCCAGGCTGGAGTGCAATGGTGCGATCTCAGCCCACTGCAACCTCCACCACCCTGGGTTCAAGGGATTCTCCTGCCTCAGCATCCTGAGTAGCTGGGATTACAGGCATGCATCAACTTGCTCAGCTAATTTTTTGTACTTTTAGTAGAGACGGGGTTTCACCATGTTGGCCAGGCTGGTCTTGAACTCCTGACCTCAAGCAACCCACCCACCTCTGCCTCCCAAAATGCTGGGATTACAGGTGCGAGCCACCATGCCTGGCCAAGCCTCATACTCTTAATGAGATTTTTTTCCCTGCTTATCCTTTTAGCTATTCTTCTGACATGCCATATTAGAGAGTATATGAAAAACTACAGTTATTTTCATTTACTACTTTCAAAAATTTCCCTTTTCTAGCCCAGTCTGTAGCACCGTATTTATTGGGACTCTGCCACCCAGGGTGCAACATTTCAGAGTTTCAATTTGTGTCATTTTATTGTCTGGAAGTTGCACAGCAGGAGGTGATCATGCAGTTTTGTGGTTGGAGTAGACCCTGGCTCTCTGAGCAAGAAGTTATACATTAATGAGAGGCTTGCTGTATATATATTCCCATATCCTTTCAGCTACAGGATGTCATTATGTTTCATGGGGCAAAACATAGAAGAAAAAACATTTGTCACCTTAATCTATTTATAGTTTCTCTCAACTTATATTTAGTAGAAATTATTCCCAGACAGCATTAATCCGATGTATGATAATATGTAAGTCTTGTGAATTTACCTCTTTTTCTTAATGTAATAGATAATTTTGTGAAAATTTATAAGGCTGTTTGCCAGAAACTGTTTTAAACCAGACTACTCATTCATTAGGTTCATTGATTTTCCTAAATGAGCTATCAGAGCATTATCTTATGTATTTCCCTTATTTACAAGTTATTGGTGAAGGAGAGGAAACTCATTTTTTTCCTTTGATCTCTAACATTATTATTTTACAAACTCAACAATATAAAAATAAAAAAGGAAGTTTTTTAATAGCAGCATCTAAGTACAAGTTAATGATGTTTTTATTTAAAATCAATGTCAATAACTGCTTAATTAAATTTGACATCTCTTTTTAAAGAGAACTGTTTGTTTACTTATTTAATGATTTACTTTGCTTTCAGAAATTGAGAAACACAAGGGCTTCAAACAATTTATTAACCTCATGAATTCAGCAAACTTAGGTACTAAAAGATAGTTGTAGAGTCTGGAAAGCTAAGGTCAAAATACTGGGGATAAATCCATGTTCCACCTTAATCTCTTGTCCTTCATATAAATCACTTCCTTTTGTTAAGCCTCAGGTTTCTCTTCTTTATAATGGGAATAATAACATTTACCCAAGAAAATTGCTGTGAGTATTGATAAATAATAATGTTTTGAAAAAACAAATTCTTTAGAAATACAGTAATTAACCTCTTTAGTAATAATTGTGTAAATGCTTGTTTTTTCCTGCAAATTATCTTGAATGGTATTGTTTGGCGATAGCTCAGATCCTCAAGAGTTAACAACTTTTCTAAGAGAAAAGTCCACCACTACATTTAAAGATGTCACTCCCCCCATCTGTATTTTTTGAACTTTCACATGCAGATTAAAAATAAAAATAGGTCGGCCAGACATGGTGGCTCATACCTGTAATCCCAGCACTTTGGGAGGCCGAGGTGGGCAGATCAGGAGGTCAAGAGATGGAGACCATCCTGACCAACATGGTGAAACCACCTCTCTACTAAAAATACAAAAATTAGCTGGGCATGGTGGCATGCACTTGTAGTCCCAACTACTAGGGAGGCCGAGTCAGGAGAATTACTTGAACCCGGGAAGCGGAGCTTGCAGTGAGCCGAGATTGCGCCACTGCACACCAGCCTGACGACAGAGTGAGACTCTATCTCAAAAAAAAAAAAAAATCAAAATATATAACTTAACATCTCTTTTCGTTTAAATAAAGCCAAGGTTTAAACCTGTTATTTTTGTCTTCCAATCAGAAAAATCTACTTTAATGACTAAATTACAAACTAAGTTGAACAGTTTCATCTCTTCTTTATCAAAGACAAAGCTGCACAATAAAGTTGTGTTCATTATTTCTTTGCTATTTGCTTTCTTCAAAAATTATGCTTTAAAAAATGTTAACATGCATAAATATAACTAACACTCTATTACATAAAATCTAAGATTTAAAATACTCTGGAGAATCCTCTTTATTTAATTCCCTCTTTCACACTAATGTCATATTCCATGTCAGCCAGGATGACTAGCTTGTCAATGTGCTTTATGCATTTGAGCTTCTGAATCAACCCACCTGTCATTTCTTATACCCAAGTGCCCTCCCCTCCTTTCTTAGCCTAATCATATCCATTCAGCTAAAGACACATCTGCTCCGTAAAGCTCTCTAAGCACAATGCCATCTGACTCCAGACAAAAAATAGTGCCATTGCCACCATCTTTCCCAAGACAATGTATTTAAATTTTACACTTAATATTTCACTCCAGTATGAATCAGTTATTTTACCTACTGACATGCATGCATAATCGATCAAATCACAACTATATTCTTTCAAGAAAACTATGAGTAAAATCGCTGATTTGTTATTATACTAAATCATCTTTTGCTTTGCTCCCTTTGAGTCTATAATTTCATCTGTGAAAAAGACACTTAGTAAATATTTACCTTTTCTTCCATTAACCCTCCCCACCTTTCATGAGTGAAAAGACAGTTTTCTTCCTCAGCCATTACAATAATTAAAAAAATATTGTTTTCCTTACATTTGCATAATTATGTTTAGATTTTACAAATGTCTGCTATGTGTATGTCTTCATCTCATGCCCATAAACTATGCTTTGGTGAGGATATTAGACCTCTTTTTAGAGATGAGGAAATTTAGGCTTAATTGGTCTCTGTGACCTGACTAAAATAACACAACTGCTAAGTGGTGGAACAAGGCATTTGGCCTAATTTGTTCTTCAATGTTTGGGAGATAGAATAGATTAATGGTGTCAGAGAACGTTCTAAAATTAGGATGCCTGCGATAGAATCCTGGCTCTCTCACTTACTGGCTGTATCACCTTGAACCGGTGGATTGCCTTTTTGTCTTCATCTGTAAAGAGATGATTCTAAAAGTACCCATCTCCTAGGATTGTTGTTTAGATTCAATCCATTAATATGTGTATGGCCCTTAAAGCTGGCCCTTATTAAGTACTCAGTAAATGCCAGCTGCTAATAATAAGAGAAAGGGAAAAATTAGTGAAACTGAAGGAATAAGTCTTTCACACTAATTTGGTTGAACAAGCCTCATTCAACACAATAATATATTCAGAAGATGACAAGGAAGAAAACACAAAATAGGGGAAATCAACCAGGCAACCAGAAAAGCAATTTTATAGGAGTAGGTTAATTAACAGTATCTACTTGATGCTCACCTACATGACACTGGGCACTAAAATTTATACTATGAATTGGGGCACAAGAGGTGCCAATAGAGCACCGTACTGTACTCCAAGACAGCATCGTTGCCCTGCTGAAATGGAGAAAGGCATGTAATGATCTGATGGCTTCTCTAAGCCTAAAATGGGAAAGTCCAGTTCAACTCCCTTTTAAATGCATTTCCTGAAATGTCCTCAAGCTCAGCTGAGACCTGCTAAGTTCAACAGTTTTTGTCTCTCTTTCCATAGAAAAAAAACTGTAACCAACATGACCTGTAAAATTTATTGATAATTGGTCTTTCTATGCTATTAAACAGCCAAAGACCTGATTCTTTTAAAGGACACAGACAGAGAAGCAGAATCTCAGATCATTCATAATATGGCAAAATTTTGGCTGTGCACTTAAATAAGAAATGCTTATTGTTTGTATAAAAATAATGTTCTTTAATCTGGAATCATTCACAATATCTAAAAAATTATGTGATAGACACAGTGCATATCATCATGGACTGAACTCATAAAATAAATACGAAGGATTGACTTACAATAAAAATCTTTCTCAAATTATTGAGAAAATATTTCTCCTTAGCCAACAAAATTTCTATACTGGCTTTATTTTCAAGAGCTCCTGTCATTTAAAAATAAAACTTAAAATTCTTTTGGTGTATTTAAATGTAATAGTTTTAAGTCACTATGTTTTAAGCAGACAATTCTGAATTTCTATTTTGGGGAAGACTGTCATCATCATACAGGGATAATGAATTTATTGAATTTATCTATATTTAGCAAGGTGTCTATCAATGGTAAGAATTAACAATCAAGCTATTAGGTATAAGCTGTAAGAACTATTATGCATTCATTTATTTTATTATACTTTCAAAATCCTATGCTTGTATCATTTTAGATAACCAGAAAATACATTTAGACTTTCTTAGTCAAGCTCACTGGTCACCTTATAAAGTTTTTGTACTTTTTTCTTTGGCTTTTCACAATACTTTGTAGGAAAGAAAAGATGGACAAGCTTTCATCTTCTGAGAAATATTTGTCAAATTTCTGTTAGTATATAATTTCAAAAAAGTGTCTATTCACTAGAATTTGGCATTTCTTTTTATCTACAGTAAAAAACGAATAAATGACCATTATTTCATTTTTGCTTTGATTCCCACCATGTTCAACACAAAATTGAATATTCAAATGTAATCATCATTTTATTCAAGCTGTTGGAAGAATTATCTCTCTTTTTTCTCCTCCACTTAATTTTACAAGCACAAAGGCCTGTGTGTCCTTGTATTAAGTAAGGGTTTGTTTCTAAAAGCAGTTGATTTATAAGTTACCTAAAATCATTTGTACAGTTGGCATGGTGAAAATTAAAATAAACAAATAAGTAAAGAGCAGTAAGGATAAATATAGTTCTGAGATCATACAGATTATAAACACCAAGAAAACAACAAAAATACACATATTTGTGACAAAAATAATTGGGAAAACTGAGTTGCTAAGTGAGAGATATTTAGAGATTGCAAATATAAATGAACCAACGACTTAACTTTCCTAAAATTGCAAATATAAGTGAACTAATGACTTCTTTCTCCCTTTCTCCTCCCTCCTTCTCTCTCTTCTTTCTTTCTCATTCTTTCTTTCTTTTTCTTTCTTCTTTCTTTCTTTACTTTCTTTTTCTCTTTCTTTTTCTTTCTTTCATCTTCTGTCTTCTTTTTTTCTCCTTCCTGTCCTTCCTTCCTTCTCTCCCTCCTTCCCTCCTTTCTCTTTCTCTTTCTTTCTTTCTCTCTTTCTTTCCTTCCTTCCTTCCTTTCTTTCTTCCTTTCTCTCTTCTTTCTTTTTCTTCTCTTTCCCATCCTTCCTTCCTTCTTTCCTCCCTCCCTCCTTCCTTTCTTTCTTTTTCTGTCTTTCTCTCTCTTTCCTTCCTCTTTCTTTTTTTCTTCTTTCTTTTTCTCCCTCTTTATCCCTCCCTCTCTTTCTTTTTCTGTCTTCTTTCTTTTTCTTCTCCCTCCCTTCCTTCCCTCCCTCCCTTCCTTCTTTCTTTCTTAACTTTTCTTTCTGTCTTTCTTTCTCTCTCTCCTTCCTTCCTTTCTCTTTCTTTCTTTCTTCTCCTTCCCATCCTTCCTTCCTTCCCTCCCTCCCTCCTTCCTTTCTTTCTTTCTCTCTTTCTTTTTCTTTATTTCTTGTCCTTCTCTCTTTCCTTCCTTTCTCTTTCTCTTTCTGTCTCTGTCTTCTTTTTCTTCTCCTTCCCTTCCTTCCTTCCTTCCCTCCCTCCCTCTTTTCTTTTCTTCTTTCTTTCTTTCTCTCCCTCTCTCTTTCCTTCCTTCCTTCCTTCCTTCCTTCCTTCCTTCCTTCCTTCCTTCTTTCCTTTCCTCCCTCCCTCCCTCCCTCTCTCTCCCCCTTTCTTTCTTTCTCTCTCTCTCTGTCTCTCTCTTTTCTTTCTTTATTGCTTTCACTATATGGCCCAGTCTGGAGAGCAGTGGCATGATCACAGCTCATTGCAGCCTCAACCTACCAAGGTTAAGCAACCATCTCAGCTCAACCTCCCGAGTAGCTGGGACTACAGGCGTGTGCTATCACACCCTGCTATTTTTAAAAAATTTTTTGTAGAGGCCAGCTGTGTTGGCTCACGCCTGTAATCCCAGCACTTTGGGAGGCAGAGGTGGGTGGATCATGAGGTGGAGATCAAGACCATCCTGGCCAACACGGGGAAACCCCATCTCTACTAAAAATACAAAAATTAGCTAAGCGTGGTGGCGCGTGCCTGTAGTCCCAGCTACTCGGGAGGCTGAGGCAGGATAATGGCGTGAACCCGGGAGGCGGAGGTTGCAGTGAGCTAAGATCACACCACTGCACTCCAGCCTGGGCAACAGAGGGAGACTCCACCTAAAACAAAACAAAACAAAACAAAACAAAACAAAACAAAAATTGTAGAAATGGGGTCTCACTGTGTTGCCTACACTGGTCTTAAACTCCCAGCCTTAAGTGATACTCCACCTCTACCTCACAAAGTACTGGGATTACAGGCCTGAGCCACTGT
The DNA here is from genome assembly GCF_000001405.40 of Homo sapiens. Taxonomy (NCBI): domain Eukaryota; kingdom Metazoa; phylum Chordata; class Mammalia; order Primates; family Hominidae; genus Homo; species Homo sapiens. The sequence goes on along the minus strand of NC_000003.12, from coordinate 106,434,939 downwards.
ATCTGCCCTAACTTTTCTGAAATAGTAGTCATTGCCATGGAAATTTATAAAAATAGTTGTAATGAAATTATTGTTTTTTGCTTTATCCAAACATATATTTGAAGATTTTCAACATTTCCTGAGTGATTTTTTCTCCCCCATCCTATAGCCAATACTCACCATAAACAAAGAGTCAGTGACTAGCTGAAACAAGGTCTTTGTCTCAAAGATAGCTCTCAGAAAAGTGAAAAGCCAAACTTTTTACTAGATGGATCCATTAATATATGATGCCTTATGATGGCCCATGTTATCATAGCTTTAAAACCAGTATCAATTAATTTAGAGAATCCAAAATAAATGCTGCTGTGTTTTAGGGAGCCAAAGAATAGCTATAGCCAACTTTTATGACTTTATTCTTTCTACTCATAGATTAAAGTCACATTGTATTCAACTTCAGAATAATAAATTACACAAATGAAAAGATGTGATTTATAATATACTTTTAATGTATATGTAGTATACCTTTATCAATCATCTAAATAAACCATATTATTAAAGAACTGTTTGAATGCAAACAAAGCATTTTCCTATTCTGGTTTTTTATACCACAAAAAGTTTGTAAAATACCTCAACCATAAATACAGGCATAATATAGTACAACAGAGAGACTTTAAATATTGATTGTTTGGTATTTGGAGGTATTTGCTTCATAATAATTCAATAATGACATACTAAAAACTCAGAAACAAAGGAAAGAGAACTCTAATGAATTTAAGAATAAATTGTACCAATCAGTGAAGCTCTTTGTAAGCTCTGCAGTTTTTTGTTTTGTTTTGTTTTGTTTTGTTTTGTTTTTGAGATGGAGTCTCGCTCTGTCGCCAGGCTGGAGTGCAGTGGCGCGATCTCAGCTCACTGCAACCTCCGCCTCACAAGTTCGAGCAATTCTCCTGCCTCCAGCCTCCGGAGTAGCTGGGACTACAGGCACGTGCCACAACGCGCAGCTAATTTTTTGTAATTTTGGTAGAGACAGGGTTTCCCCATGTTGGCCAGGATGGTCTCAATCTCTTGACCTCGTGATCTGCCCGCCTCGGCCTCCCAAATTGCTGGGATTACAGGCTTGAGCCACTGCATCCGGCCAGCTCTGCAGTTTTTAATACGCTATGTCATTTAGCACAAGGAAGAGTAAACTATGACTTGTGGGCCAAATATGACCTACCTTCTGATATTGTAAATAAAGTTTTATTAGAACATAGATGTGCCAGTTTGTTGATGTTTCTATCCATGGCTGCTTTCTCACTACAACAGCAGAATCGGATAGCTGTGACAGACACAGAAGGCCCTCAGAGCCTAAACTAGTTAATACCTTTCCCTTTACAGAAAATGTTTTCTGACTCCTGATTTAGAGGATGTTGGGAATGGAGGCTTTATTTCTTGCAATGACAACTGCTTTGGGAATTTTTTTTCTTGACGGGCGCGGTGGTTCACACCTGCAATCCCAGCACTTTGGGAGGCCGAGGCGGGCAGATCACGAGGTCAGGAGATCGAGACCGTCCTGGCTAACACGGTGAAACCCTGTCTCTACTAAAAACACAAACACAAAATCAGCCGAGCGTGATGGCAGGCGCCTGTAGTCCCAGCTACTTGGGAGGTTGAGGCAGGAGAATGGCGTGAACCCGGGAGTCGGAGCTTGCTGTGAGCCAAGATCGCGCCACTGCACTCTAGCCTGGGCGACAGAGCGAGACTCTGTCAAAAAAAAAAAAAAAGTCCTTAAATACCAATAATAGAGGAATTCAGTCATTGCCCTTCTATTTAGCAAACATCTTTTAAATGAGAAGACAAACTATTTCAGCTCCATATAATAGGATGGTTTCTTGCCAGTTTTTATCATATACCCGACACTACACAAGTAAGATTATGTGGATTAATTCTCACAGCAATGCTTACAGACGGATAATATTTTGTAGAATTATTGTATTGATGGCTCCAAATAATGGGCTCTTATCAGTCCTCTCCATGCTGTAACTTTGCAGTCTCCATTCACTTTGACTTTGGGCTAGTCTTATGAATTGCTTTGGCAAAGTAACATTGTGCCTATTCTGAGCCTAGGTCTCATG